>NC_000006.12:102040486-102192002 GCF_000001405.40 Homo sapiens
ACACTACTTTGACATATAAACAAAATGAAATTTCCTTTTTTTACTTCTGTTTTCTAATGTTAAATGCTTAAGATTCACTCTTTATTTTTAAATTTCTCATTATTTGGTGAGGTAAGAGATGTAGAATTGGTACCAGTGGAGGTACGTTGTTTGTTTGAGGCAGATGCCAATGTTTGTAAAAATAGAAATCAGTATGAGAAGAATGTCGTTCCCTGTTTTATTCACCATCCATTTCTAAAATTCTCAATTTATGATATAATAAGTACTGAAATATTCATCATTATAGATGCATAAAATTGCCAGCCTTCCGTTTTTCAGCTTTACTGAAGTGAATGAATACATTTGTCTTCATTAGTTTAACATAATGCACAAAAATTGATGCAAATTATTCATCTTTCTGCAGGTCAGCCCTTCCATTAAAATGCATTCTATTTTCCCTTTGCATAAGCAGCACAATTTTAATATTTGAAGTGATTTTGCAGGGCTAAATCTAGATCTAATAATTTTCAGAGACTGAATTAACAAATAAACTCAAATTACACCTGTTCAAGCTGTACATTCCTGGCATATTTGTTAAGTCTAGATTATATGTCACTGAAAACATAAGCATCTCAATAAGTTATGCCTGCTCCACAGACATCATTAACAGGCTGCATGCTACAATCTAGGAGGCTTCAACAGGGAATTTGATGAATTGTGAGCACCACTGTGAACAGCCGTGATTAATATTGTAAATGTTGACCAAATGGTACCCAAACAATGTAGAAATGGATAATTCTCATAAAACAGAGTTCTGACAGATTTTATACACAAAGATTGGATCATTTAATTCATTTACTTATTAGTCCAAGACCATGGCTTCAAATTTTACTTTAGATCAGTTAGCCACAGACTGTCAGACTATGTCAGATAGTTGTCCTTGGGTTAGCAGAGGTGGGTAAGATCAATGAGGAGTCACTCTTATTAGAAAAAAGCTAGTCAAATGTTTGTTCTAAATACCAAACCCAAATGCTTTGCATTTGCTGACCCTCATGTGACAGACATATTCATAGCATGTTGCATGGAGTCTTTGGCCTTTGTAGTCAGATGACCTGTGTGCAAATTTTAGTTTCACCTGGATGAAACCTGAAGAAGTTACTGAGTCCCTATTACACTTAGTGTCCTCATGTATAAGCAGATATAACCATGTTCACATAATTGGATTGTGATAAAGATTGAGCATATTATATTTTTAGTACTTGAATCAGAATAGGTAGCATAAAGAATTTTAAAGAAATGTTTTGATCACTTCTAATACGAGGTTTTAGAAAATTAAAAAAAAAAAGTGTTTTGAAGAAATGTTCTCTAATAATTGAAAGAATATGTTAGTGGTCTCTATTTATACATTTTTAGAACTGTCTTGTCTTTGTATGTTTAGGGATATTAAATATATAGCCGAGAAAGCAGAGTATTAGTATGACCCACTGTTAACCAGCTGGAAACCTGTTTCTAATGAAACCTACCTGGGATTTTACCATCAGCCAATCAGTATATTGTAATTAGATAACTATCATTTTGTGGGAAGAGAGTGATTGATATCTACTATATAAAGTTAAGAAAATTCCTATCATAAGGCATTATCTGAACAAGCAAAATGGTTTTCCATTTCCAAACATGTCTTGAACTTTTAGTAACAGAGCTCAAAATGTATTAGGAGAAGTATCATCTCTAAAGACATGTTTAGTAAACAATCTTTTTAGTAAACAGAGCTCAAGATATACTAGGAGAAAAATCATCTCCAAAGGCCTGTATATTTTCTTTACATTTGACCAATCTACAAGAATTTCATTACTCTTTCTTTCCTGCTTAGCTCTGTAAAATAATGAACATAAAATATAAACATAAATCATCTTTCTTTTTTAGAAGAAAGATAAGGAAAAACAAATTTGACATAAAATAGAGAAAAATGCAATATTGGACATAAACAAATACCTGTTATTAGTGCAGGGACTTAGATAGCTGGAGCTTAGTGAGACCAAAGCAGACAGACCAAATTGCAAAAGGGACTTCAGCAATACTTAAAGGATGGGTAGTTCACTGTCTTGAAAAAGATATATTTTTTTCTTCCAATTTTAGGGTTCTTAATGATTAATCAGGATAATGATTTAATATAAAATGGTCCAACTCTTATAATTCTTTCCTTGGAATTTTACATTAGATTTGGAAAAAAGCATAATAGTAAGGAAATCATTGCTGACATAACCATTCCTAACACTATTCTAATGATTGCTGATGGCAAAATCATAAGAAAGGTAGGGTTTATAGGATAAAATTATTTCTATTTTCATACTTAGTGTCAGAGTTTCATGGTTTAATACTCAAGAAATATGACAGCAAATCTATTTCACCAGTCACTTTTAACTAATATATATGAAATATGTCAGAACCAGTAAAAATAGTTGGCTGTTTCATTACAGGTTGATAACATTTTCTTTTTCACAAGTTAGAGGATATACAGAATATTAATAAAAGGCAACTGTCTAATACATATACTCTATAATTTGAATTCTTCATTGATACATTTTATATGCCATATATAAGCATCTCCCTTTATGATCTTAGGTACCTGAATATTTTCCTGCATATTCTATAAATATTCCTTCAATTAGAATGCGTTTATATTATTTAAAAAAATTTTTTAAACTAAACAGTTATAATGTGTATATTTATGACGTAAAAGTGACATTGTGATTTATGAATACAATAAGGAATGATTAAACTAATTAGCATATCAATCACCTCAGATACTTTTTTATGGTGTGAACATTTGAAATTTATTAGAATTTTTGAAATGTACAGTACACTGTTACTAATTATATTCACCATGTTGTGCAATAGATTTAAAAAGACCCTGTTCCTCTTATCTGAGATTTTTTACCCTTTGACCATCATCTCCCCATTTCTCTCAACCCTCCAGCCTCTGCTTTCTGTTTCTATCAGTTCAAATGTGTTAGATCCCACATGTCAGTGAGAATATGTGATATCCGTCTTTTTGTGCCTGACTTCTTTCATTTAGCATAATATTCTCTTGTTTCATCTAGGTTGTCGCAAATGACAGAATTTCATTATTTTTTAGGGCTGAATAGTATTCCATTGTGTGTATATGTACTGCATTTTCTTTATTCTCTGATCCATTATAAATATAAGGTTGATCCTATAACTTGGCTATTGTGAAAAGTGCTGCAATGAGTAACGGAATGTGCACATCTCTTTGACAAACTGATTTCAAATCTTTTGAGTAAATACATAGAAGTAAAATTGATGGATCTTTCCCATGATGGTTGCACTAATTCACATTCCCACCAACAGTATGCAAGGGTTTCCTTTTCTCCACATCCTGATCTGATGGTTTTATAAGGAGTTTTCACTTTTACTTCTTTCACATTCTGTCTTGCCACCACCATGTAAAAAGTGCTTTTCACTTTCCTCTGTGATTGTGAGGCCTCCCTAACCACAAAGAGCTGTGAGGCCATTAAGCCTATTTTTCTTCACAGTCTCAGGTATATCTTTATCAGCAGCATGAAAATGGGCTCATACAGAGGAATACCATTGAAAGACCTTAATTTTATAGAAGTATAAGAAATTCATGAGCAAAAATGATAAGGATACAAAAAGAGTAATTTCATCTTTAAAAATATATCAATCCATAACATTTTAATCACCAAATGGTGTCAGATAAAAGTGAACCAATCTTTCTGATACCTAATAATCTTTTCACATTGTGTATCTGTTCAATCAGTACCTTGCTGAAAATTTTCTAGTGGTGCTCTCGAGCTATCAGATAAAATACTAACTCCTAACAATGTCATGCAATCCCTTTCTTTTACCTATCTTAAGATTCCTGTATTAGTCTGTTTTCATGCTGCTGATAAAGACATACCCAAGACGGGATAAAAAGAGGTTTAATTGGACTTACATTTCCACATGATTGGGGAGGCCTCTGATTTATGGCGGGAGGTGAAAGAATTATTACATGCTGGCAGCAAGAGAAAAATGAGAAAAATGCAAAAGCAGAAACTCTTGATGAAACCATCAGATCTCGTGAGACTTATTCACTACCACGAGAACAGTATGGGGAACCACCCACATGATTCAATTGTCTCCCACTGGCTCCCTCCCACAATACATGGGAATTATGGGAGAACAATTCAAAATGAGATTTGGGTGGGGACACAGAGCCAAACCATATCATTTCCTTTCTGAATTTATCCCCTCTTCCCTACATCTAACCTGATAACAATACAAACAAGTTGGGTTTCCTTCTGCCTGAGTTTACCTTTTTTCACTCTTCCTCCAATTTTCTGGTTGAATTCTCTCATCCAAATAAATTTCTTATGCTGACCTTTTCATCTCTTTACACACTTTTCCTAGGCTGCCACAGAAATATATATGATCTCTCTCTTTTGGAACCATAGCACATTTTCAGATATTCCTATATAGTATTTGGTATATAATATTACAATTTTTAAAGTATCTTTTTCTCCATTAAGATGATAATATGAGTGTCCTAATGGCAAGGACCATAAATGAATCAATTTTTACCCATACTGTCTCACTATTGTTGAGTACATAAATATTACTTAGCGTAGCTGTGAGATCCTAAGTATATAATGGTGAACAATATAACCATGACCCCTGCCCTGCTAGAGTTCTCAGTGTAACAAAGACTACATAAAATTTAGCAAGTTTTTACAAATAAACAAGGTAATGTGTTACAGAATTATGTGACAGATGAAACTATAATAAATTAGTCTTCAGGAAAGGTAAGCAAAAAAGATTACTTCTATTTGATAACAGGCGTAAGAATGATAACTCTTCTTTTACTTTTGCTACCTTTTTCTTACTTCTCTCTCTTCTCTTTCCATCTACATTCCAGTTTTGGAAAGGTGTACATAGAAAAGGAAAAAGATAGTGAGAGCATCTCAAATCCATTTTGTTCATTTCTTCTAGATTTAGAGGATAGGATGAGGTACAAGATATCAGGACCATGGAAGAATTTAGCCAACTATAAATGACACTGTTCATGTAGAAATGAGAGAAGAGAGGTTAAAAATCATCTGGTATCAAGAGAAGAAAAAAAATGTACTAAAGACATACCTAATAAATAATTATCTAATAATGCAAAGAACTTTTAAAACACAATCATAATAAACAACCCCACTAAAAAATGGTCCAAAGATCTTAACAGACACCTCATCAAAGGAAATACACACATACCAAGAGAGCATATGACAAGATGCTCCATATCATATGTCATAAAAGAAATGCAAATTAAAATAATGCTTTATTTAAAAAGCAATGAATAAAAATTGCAAGAGTAAGTTGTTACCTATCAATAATAACCTTGAATGTAAATTAATTCTTCCATCAAAATACATACAGTGGCTGCATGTATTTTTAAAAAGATCAAATTACATGTTGCATATAAGAGATTCTTTTTAGCTTTAAGAGTATTCATAACTGAAAGTGAAGTGATGGAAAATGTATTCCATGCACATGGTAACCAAAAGTCAGCAGGGATGGCTATACTTAGAGTTCAAGTGAAAAACATTTATAGGAGACAAAGAAGGTCATTATTTAATGATAAAGGAGGAAATAAATCAAGAGGACATAATAATTGTAAATATATATGCACCAAATATTGATTCACCTGAATATATAAAGCAAATATTAATGGACTGAAAAAAGAAATTAAAATAATAGTAAAAGGCACCAATACCCCACTTTTATTAATAGGTAAATCAACCAGACAGCAAATTAACAAGAAAATACTGGGCTTGAACTGCACTTTTGATATTGTTTTGCTCTGTCCCCACCCAAATCTCATGTAGAATTGTAATCCCCACATTTTAAGGAGGGACATGGTGGGAATTAATTGGATCATGGGGGCAGATTTCCCCCATGCTCTTCTTGTGATAGTGAGTGAGTGCTCACGAGATCTGATGGTTAAAAAGTGTGACACTTCTCCCCACAACCTGCACCCACTGCCACCATGTGAAGAAGGTCCTTGCTTCCCCTTAGTCTTCTTCCATGATTGTAAGTTTCCTGAGGCCTCCCAGTCATGCTTCCTGTGAAGCCTTCAGAACTATGAGTCAATTAAAACTCTTTTCTTCATAAATTTCCCAGTCTCAAGTGGTTCTTTATAGCAGTGTGCAAATGGACTATTAAAACTTTATATGGAATGAACCTAACAAACATATATAGAACTTTCCATTCAAGAACAGTAGAATGTGCTTTCTTCTCAACTGTCCATGTAACATTCTCCAAGACAGGGCATAGTTTAGGCCATGAAACAAATCTTAACAAATTCAAAAAGGTTGAAATTATGTATAGTATTGTTTCTGACCACAACAGTATGAAACTGGAAATCAATAACAAGAGAAATCTTGGAAAATTAACAAGTATGTAGAAATTAAACAACATGCTCCTGAACAACTAGTAGGTCAAATAAAAAATCAAAAGGAGTGTTAAAAAATATATTGAAACAAATGACAGTAGAAACATAATATATCAAAACCTACAGAATGCAGCAAAAGCAGTTCTATAAGGGAACTTTATAGCAACAAATGCCTCTACTTAAAAAGAACGAAGATCCCAAATAGCCTGACATTATGCCTCAAGGAGCTAGAAAAGGAAGAACAAACTAAACCCTAAAGTTAGCAGAAGTAAATAATAAAGATCAGAACAGAAATACATCAAACAGAGAATAGAAAAACCATAGGAAAAAAACCCAATAGTCACTTCTTTAAAAAAATAAACAAAATAGACAAACCTTTTACTAGGCTAAGGGCAAAAAGAGAGGCGACTCAAAATCAGAAAGAAAAAGAAGGCATTAAACTGAAAACTCTAAAGCATTACTGAAAGAGATTGAAGACACAATAAGTAGAAAGATATCTATGTTCATAGATTGGAAGAATTAATATTGTTAAAAATTTTCTTCCTGGCCAGGTTCGGTGGCTTATGCCTGTAATCTCAGTACTTTGGGAGGCCGAGCTGGATGGATCACAAGGTCAGGAGTTCGAGACCAGCCTGGCCAACATGGTGAAACCCCATCTCTACTAAAAATACAAAAAATTAGCTGGGCATGGTGGTGTGAGCCTGTAATCCCAGCTACTCAGGAGGGTGAGGCAGGAGAATTGCTTTAACCCAGGAGGCAGAGGTTGCAGTGAGCCAAGATCACACCAATGCACCCCAGCCTGGGTGGCAGAGCAAGACTCCATCTCAAAGAAAAAAGAAAAAAAAAATATTTCTTCCTACCCAAAGCTATCTACAGTTTTAATGTAAACTCTCTTAAACTTTCATTGTAATTTCTCATAAAAAATAGAAAAGCAATCCTATAGATTATGTGAAATTACAAAAAGGCCTAATACTCAAGGCAATAATGAGCAAAATAAAATAAAGCTAGAGGCATCACAATATCTGATTTCAAATTACACTGCAAATCAATAGTAATCAAAATAGCATGGTACTGCCCCCCTCCCAAGAAAAAAATAGACATATTGACCAATGGAACTGTATGGAGGGTGCAGAAATGAACCCACACTGTATGGTCAATTGTCAAAACTATCAAGAACACCCAATGGAAAAAAACAGTTCTTCAATCAACGGCGTTGAGAAAACTGGATATCCACAAGCAGAAGACGTAATTTGGTCTTTTTCTCACAACACATACAAAAATCAACTCAAAATGCATTAAAGAATTAAAAGTAAGGTCAGAAATTGTAGAAGTACTAGAAGAAAACATAGGGCAAAAACTATACAACATTGAGTTGGGCAATATTTTTTTAGATTTGAACCCAAAAGTGCAGGCAACAAAAGCAAAAATAGACAAATGGGATTACATCAAACTAAAAGTTTCTGCAAAGGAAGGAAAAAAAATAATAGTGCGAAGGGACAACCTAGAGATTGTGAGAAAATATTTGCAAGCCACACACTCAATAAGGTGTTAAATCAAAACTATATTAAGAACTCAGACAACTGAATAGCAAGAAAAAATTATTTAAATGAGTAAGGGACCTGAATAGACATTTCTCAAAAGAAAACATACAAATGACTAACAGATATATGAAAAATAATTCACCATTGTTAATCATTGGGGAAATGCAAATTAAAACCACAGTGACATATCACCTCACACTAGTTAGAATAGCTGTAACAAAAAAGACATAATGTATTGGAGTAATGACAAGCTAGAAGAAATGTAATATTATTAGTAGTCTACTTCATAAAAATATTTTCCCAGAACCAAAGCGAGCAACTAGTACCAAACCACTACCTAATGCTAGGTCATATACAGCATGTAATATAATATAATTACAATATCTGAATAACTAATGAATATAAAATAAAAGAAACAAATGTCCTTTCGGAGGTGGCCAGAGAGGATATGTCATATGAAAAAAAAGCAATACCCAGTAAGCCCTTTAGACTTTTAACAAAATGTATGAAGGATTTGGGTTCTATTAAGGAAGAACAAAAAGCATATTTTTATTATTTTTTTCAAAAATTGGTTTCATCAATTTTAGTATACAGCTATATTTAAAGTGTTCTTATAACTCTTGTCCCACAAAATTATCTTGCAAATAGACTTCAAAGCCAGTTGTGGAACTGTGTTTTAATACAAGCAGTGTGCTGTGAATTCTTATGAAGCATATGGAGCAATAGATGAAAAAGGGAACCTACAAAAAATACAAATTGGTAAGCTGTGAGTTCACAATATGTAAGTTCAAAGGCAGAAAGGAGAGTACATAGGGTCAGACAGAAAAATCTAATGAAGGGGCAACATATTTTCCACAGAGAGAACACATGTAATAACAATAGTAATTGTTATCTAAGGTTATCTTACTTTACAATAAGTATTAATAGTAATTATTGTTTCTAAAGCCATACAAATTGAATTTAAAAGAAAAGAATTTATGGGGACATTAATAAGCGAGAGGGAAAAATTCTTCCCCGACAATAAATTTAAACATTAGAAACAAGTTTTATTTAATTTTTTCTGTTCTTTCCTTTAATAGATAGATGGAAGCCTTTACTTTGCTAATGTATAATGTGAATTTGCATGAGATATATTTGATATGTAGTATTAATCAAGATTATTTGTACAAGTAATCCTTTACAAATCAAACAGATGTACATTTACCAAAAACAGAAGTGCATGTGGGAATAGCCAGTTTGGGAAATACTGTTGTAAAGAGTTTTAGAAGGAGATATATTATAAAAAGCAAGAATGATTTTGTTTCTGACCCTTGTAATTGATTAAAGCATACAGAAGCTTGATTTGAAAGTAAAGAAACATTTGAAAGGCTGAATGAGAGGTTTCCAGAATGTAAGATAATGCAATTTCAGCATGTTAAATATAAGATACATTGATTTCAGTATATATTTTTAAATATAGGATAATGTGATTTCAGTATATTCATTATTGGACAATTTGCTGTGCAACCTTTAAAGAAAAGTTATTTATCAATGAATAAGCCTCCCTCAGAATTAAAAGAAATGCTGACTGCATTTACTTTATTAGTCCTATATTATCTAGACGTAATGAAATAAGATAAAGAGAAAAATGTTGGCATGTAAAATTGAGAGTTTGTACAGGGTAGTAAAAGGGCTATAGAAGAAATAAATCAATATATTGTATATAATAGACTTAAACTTTAAAATTAAGTATTTAGAACTACGTGCACATTTCATTCTACAAGTAAGGTTCCTAGAATGATAGAGAGGAAAGAAAGGAAGAAGGAAAAAAGGGGGAAGGGAAAGAATGATAGAGGGGGAAGGGAGAGAAGAGCACAGGAGGGAAGTGGAAGTTAGGGAAGGAAGGGGAAGGGAACAAAAGAATACAGGGCCCCAGCACGGTGGCTCAGGCCTGTAATCCCAGCACTTTGGGAGGCCAAGGCGGGTGGATCACGAGGTCAAGAGATTGAGACCATCCTGGCCAACGTGATGAAACCCCGTCTCCACTAAAAATACAAAAATTAGCTGGGCGTAGGGTGCCTGTAATCCCAGCTGCTCGGGAGGCTGAGGTAGGAGAATCACTTGAAACTGGGAGGCGGAGGTTGCAGTGAGCCAAGATGGCACCACTGCACTCCAGCGCCTGGGCGACAAGAGCAAAACTCGGTCTAAAAAAAAAAAAAAAAAAACGGAATAAGAAATAAAAAGAGAGTACAGGAAAGGCAAAAAAAGAAAAAGAAAAAGGAAAGGGAACACAGAGGAATGAAAAAGTAGGGAGGGAAAAAAGGAGAAAAGGAGGGTAGAGGGAGAAAGGGAGGGAGGGAGGACAGAAGGAAGGAAGGAAGCAAGGAAAGAAATAAAGAAGAAAGATAAGAATAACTCAATTTAATAAACCCAGCAAGTTAGCTCTGAAATATTTGGTGAGATTTGTGTTTACTGTTTATAATAATCACAGTTTAATCTCTTAAGGAGTTTTAATCTATGTCTTGGGAGAGATTCTCATGAAATCACAATATTACATAAAAATATTTGATTAAAGTTTAACATAAAAGGGACATTTAGAGACAATAACTCTATTGTTGAGGAAGTTCTGGATAGATACATTTGTAGTTTTTATGTGCCCATCCATACGCTGTCATTGTATGTCACTTGAAACTGCCTCTATACCTCCTTTGAGGGCTCATTTGGAGCATCAGGTCTTATACATCTGACATATGAAGAGGTTTCACTATGTAATAACTGTATGTACTATGACTGCCTGCTTCCCTCCCTCCCTTCCTTCCTTCCTTCCTTCCTTCCTTCCTTCCTTCCTTCCTTCCTTCCTTCCTTCCTTCCACTCTCTGCAAGCTAGGACTTTTTTTTACTTGGTAAAAGGGATCTTTTGGCAACTTGTAAAAAGATAATTTACAAACATGAGTTCCTTACTGTGAATATGGAGAATTTGTTTAAATTATCAAAGAAAGTCCCACTGAGAGCAGCGATATAGAAAGTACCAAAGATTAGAGATTGAAATGAAGATTCAAGGCCTAATTTGGCTTTAAAAGTGTTGGGTTTATCCTGAATTTTTTAAAATAATTTATTTGTCAATGTTTTAAATGTGTGAATTTTAGACAAAATATTTCATATGATCTGACAAAAAAGTGAAAATATATGGTCACCCTGTGACCATATAGTCTCACAAGGTTTTAGTAAAACTGCAACTGAAGGCCGTCTATTTTGAGTGTTGCAGTTTTCCAGATATTTTTGTCTACCTTCCTCCACTCATTTATGGTTGTCTGTCCTCCTAACAGTTTGAAAATTGACTCTAAGTTACAATGATGCATGTTCTAATAGACACATTTATAATTTCCTTAGTGTTTTCTAATTAAAGTTAGAGGCCCCTTGAAAACATATACATATTTCTTGAAGGTGACCTTACAGTGTGACTCCTGAGCTTCTCTCAGTTGACATTCAGCAACATCAGTTCTTTGTTTGCCAACATACAGATTCATGTGGGAGTTTGAACTTGGGAGGAACTGTCTCTATCTACATAATTAATGAGTGTTCACTTCATTAGAGTTAAGTGCATGGCTGTTCATGTCACAGGGAGAATGGAAGATTCTTTCGTTCTTTGGTCTCAATGTGTCCTTGAGATTTTTCATCTAGCTGAAATTTCAGTCCACATTTGACTTCAGCTGGCATATTTGTAGAAATACTTCCAAAGGAGCATCAAATTATGTATCAAATAAGTAATAATTCATTTTTAATTACTTGTCCTTTTAAAAAATACTTAAACTAGATCAATGATGGAAGGACAAGTAAAACATGTCATTGATTTATTGGCATTGATTATATTCCTTATATTATTTCATCTTGTTTAAAACCTTAATAAGCCCATTAACTTTGTACATTTGATTCAAATCAAATATCATTTAAACATTCCTATGTTCATAAAAGCAAGTGTGCTGAGGTTTGCTAGCAATGGGAAATTTGTATATTCACATTCAATGCTGGAAATAGGAAGTTCAGCTGGCGAAAAGTCAAGCGGTGTCTCACTTGCTGAAAAGTAGGTTGCTTTTGTTTATTTGTGTCTTATTTTGTTCTTGAGAATGTAATGGAGAATATAGTGTTTGAAGATACTGGAATAGACATCCCAGTGCAGTTGGTGCATATAGTGAGTTGGCAATAATATTATATTCTTTCAATAGTTCTCAAAATGAGAAATGAGCTCTCACAAAATAAATACTTAAGTGGATTAAGAATTTTCTATATTTGAAAGTCTACTTTCCAAGTAATCACCCTTCACAAATCTTGCTTATAATTATATTTATATAAAAGAAATTACAGTCTGGGCACCTTGGCTCATGCCTGTAATCCCAGCACTTTACAGGGCAGGTGGATTGCTTGAGCTCAGGAGGTCAAGGCCAGCTGGGCAACATGGTGAAACCCCCTCTGTACTAAAAATACAGATGAGGTGGCGGGCACCTGTCATCCCAGCTACTCAGGATGCTGAGGCAGGAGAATCACTTGAGCCTGGGAGGCAGAGGTTGCAGTGAGCCAAGATCCCACCACTGCACTCCAGCCTGGGTGAAAGAGCGAGACTCTGTCTACAAAGACAAACAACAACAACAACAACACACACACACACACACACACATACATACACACACAAAGAAAAGAAATTACAACTTTTTGATAACCAGGTGTGGCCATTTTCACAAACACTATCAACACAAGATTTGTTGCATATACTGTTTCTAATTCAAAGAAATTTGATAAACTATCATTCTGTTTAAAATGGAGATACTCTTCCCCATTAAGTAAGCATTTATTTTGCAGGGAAAATATATCATTATCAGAATAAAATTGATCTTTCAACTGGCACCATGCTAGATATAGCAAATTAATAAATACTGAATAGTCAAGCAAAATGACCTTAGTTTATGGTGTTTTATTACATATCACAGAGACTCAAGCACCATGTTATTGCTCTTACGTTATGTTAAAATGCTTTTAGTCAGTTATTATGCTCCTCAGAATATGCAAACATTTGCTGAGAGCCTATGATTTGAAAAATGATTGAGAATTCAGATGGATGGATGTTTCATTAGTGTTCTTTAGTGTTTATGCTAATGGATGTAGATATTCATCTGCATTAGATATTACATAAGTGATATTTTTGTTAATTTGTTGACCAGAAACATATAAAAATAATGAAGCACATGCATCTTTCTATATCTGTTAGATGGATGGATGGATGGATAAATGGATGGATGGACTGATTGGACAGACAGACAGATAATAGATAGCCTCCATACAAAAAAGCTTGTAATGTATTTAGGAAAATAGAACATATCTCAACAGGTAAATAATAATACCAGGGAACCTAGGCTGAATGCCCAGTGAGTGATCAAGACAGAAAGTAGTATAAGTTGGGCTAATATATTGAAATCTGAAGTGGTTAAGGGGCAGAATTTACACTGCACCTTCATGTTAGATTAGTATTTTAAGAAGAGCACAGGGGAGAAACTGAGAAGCAGAAATTCCCCTAATATACTTAAGAATTCTTGCATAATGAAAATAAAATATTTGAGTTCTAATTATAGGAATGGGCAATGCCCCTATTTAGGAAGGCTGTAAAAAATGTAGAGAAGCCATAAACTTCTACAGCTTTTAAGTAGAGAAAAGATGATGTTAAACAACTTTTCAGTTGAGTTTGGTAGATCTTCATTTGTCCAACTTTTTAAACAGGTTACTTACATTCTATGGTTCTCGTCTTTCTACTTTTACATTGCCTACTCTCACTAAAAGAGATGTATAGATGTGGACACATTTAAATCAAAACAAAATTACAGGCAATGTTGAATACAAGCTGAAATGTTTAATATTTTTCTGGAAGCAGGAAAACACTATGGGTGAATTTGTACACAAAAAATGGAATGTGCAGTATAGTGTCTTAGGAAAAAGATCACACTTTAGAAGCAGGCTATTTCTGGGTGGGGGAAAGGAATAAAACCAATCCCTTGGAACAGATATAGAAAAATGCATGTGCTTCAATATTTTTATATGTTTCTGGTCAATGAATTAGCAGATATTACTTATCATGTAATATCTAATGCAGATGAGTATGTACCTCCATTAGCATAAACAATACGTTTTATTTATATTGTTGCCTCCACTGGAAAAAAACAAAATAAAACCTTGTCTCCTATAAAATAAATTGATAAAGGAACAACGCCCCAAATGTTTACAATACGTGGCTGTATGCCCCTTGATTTATAAAGTAAATCACCATAATGATTTTTAAATTATCTAAGTCCATACAACCTGTGACTTCTGTTATGCACATCACATAACAGATACTAGTGACTGCCCATTATCTGCTAAGTAAAAGATACCATTGAATACAGCTTATTAGTAATTATTCCCTTAAATTACTGCATTTAATCTTTGGAAACACCAATTTTTCACAACTTTTCTGGTCTAAAAATAGAGATAGCTGTTTTATCAGTGCTCTGGTTTCAGTGTAGAATAAATTGTAGATATGAATGAAACATCTTTGCACTCTATCCGTTTTCCTTTGTGGATTCTTTCTTACTGTTTTACAATGCTGTAAGCTGAGTCCACCTTTTAGGAGACATATTCTTTCTTAAAACAAAATTCATTTAATTCCTCAATATCTAGCAAGGCTATCCATTTTAATGATCTTGTTAAACGTCTATGTGTTTTTTCCAGTTGTTTTTCTCTTCTGAAAAAACATTGGCACACTTTGAAGCATTTTGAAAAATCTCTGCCCTCCTCTCATCTTGCTAACCTTTAATTATGAAATTTCAGGTTCCTTGAAATACTTAACATAACCTCTCCTTTCTTAGGTTCTCCATATCGAGACAAAATTACCATAGCAATTCTTCAGCTGCAAGAGGAAGGCAAACTGCATATGATGAAGGAGAAATGGTGGAGGGGCAATGGTTGCCCAGAAGAGGAGAGCAAAGAGGCCAGTGCCCTGGGGGTTCAGAATATTGGTGGCATCTTCATTGTTCTGGCAGCCGGCTTGGTGCTTTCAGTTTTTGTGGCAGTGGGAGAATTTTTATACAAATCCAAAAAAAACGCTCAATTGGAAAAGGTAAATGTTACTTGTTTCAGTTTAAATTTAAAACAATTTTTGTTGTTACAATAAAACACAAACCAAAAGAGTTTTTATGTTACCAACTAATGATAATGCATAGAACTATTGCTCTAAATTGTCTTATGTCATTCATTACATAACAAAATATTATATTTTGTGAAATTTCACAGAAAGACTCATGGTCACCTTTATGATTTTTTATTTAATTTTAATATGTTTAATTGTAGCCAGCTTCAGGAAAAATAGCTATTTCTACTCTTATTACAGACTTAAAAAATAAACTTTTGTTGTTTGAATTTCATCGTGGTATATGATGAGATACAGTTAATTAAGTGAGTAAAAATTAGAAACTAATATGAAAGAAAAAATACTCTGCAGATTAAAAATGAGGTTTTATATACAATATGGGTTAACAGTTTCAAGTTAGAGAGTAAGTTTTTATCTGAATAGCTTTAGTCCAATAAATTTCTAGTTTAAGAAAGATATTAGCTTTCACTGGAGAAATTACAGTTAATTTTCTACATTAATGAGTGTGTGAAAATAGTATAGTTTCTTTTTGCCATTTAATAGTATTCTTAATCAGTTCTTTGTTTTTTTGTACCAGAGTCCTTCTAAAAATATGTATAAACTTCAAAAATATTGAGGCTATTGCTATATTTTGCATTTGAATGCAGTCATTTGTATAAATGCTTTTTGTATTATCCTTGAAAAGTTTGTCACCTCATTCAGATTCTATATTTCTAGTGCTATAATTTCCTCATTTTTATAAATATGATGAAGACTAGGAAAATAACTCTTTCAGATGCTACATGATACTTTTTGTATGCAAATTCATTGCTCTGGATATGACAAAACCAACAGTTTAAAGTCTTCTAGTACATTATTTAATCTTTTGTATGTAAACATCTCTTTTGTTTTTGAAGAAACTCACAATATTTTAGACTTAACTTTAACCACTGTGGCAGAGTGAGATGATATAATCTTTAATATTTAAGAGGTTTATGAACTTTAGTTGGTAAATACAAAGAGCGAAAAAGAGGTATTTTGAAAATAATGCCATACAGGAATACCAGGTAAATATTTTTTCTAATATTCTTTGAAGTGTTTGTACCTTTAGAAATATTTTTGAAAATAAAAATGCTCCTTTATCTCTAATAACTTATGTCATAATTATTTATCCTTCCTGGAATCAGAATTTTGGATACAGTATTTGTACATTTTTGCTTGATTACAGTACTTGACACTGAGGAATGTTATCATAAATGTATATTTTTATAACCCCATTTTGTCTATGACTGAAATAACAAATTAAAGTTTTTGAAGAATTCAGAAAATAACATGATTTGTTTTCACAACACATTCAGGTTGTTATTTATGCTTGCTTGGCTAACTCAAATATTGGTTGCATTTGTGTGTCTAAGTACACTTTTTATGTTATAATCATTTTTAAAGTGTCAAAATGAACTTTGAAACTAAATCTAAAGAGCTAACCAAAGAAGAAATATTAACTCATTAATTATCATTTCAGGTTTAATTTGTCAGTAAATGTGGTATTTAAGGCATTAATGTGTAATATAAGAATGAAAATCATAGAATAAATATGGGTTTTCTACTTGGAACCTCAAATAATCCATATGTAATAATTTTCTTTAAGTTATAGCTCAGTATTAAAGTAAAACGAATTAGTCTCTTGATGATATGTGGTATTCTATTGTGCTTACCTCTATGTGTCCCATTCATTTGATTTAGCTAGGCCGTATCTTTAGTGCAGTTTTGTTTTACAAGTATCTGGTTAAAACAAAAACAAATGATGCGAGGATTTAATTTTGTAACGTATCGTGCTTCATTGTTATTACGAACACGTTTAGTTGAATTTTTCAGATATTACCCAGATCTCTTGACATTCTATGGATCTATATGATCCTCTAAAAATTAGAAAAATAAAATTAATGTACCTTTTCAAACGGAAACAATGAAGCATTAACATTGCACTAGAAAGAAATAACTGAGTGGATATTACATGAGCATTATAGTCACTTCACAATGCTTTGCACACTGTTTCTACATAGCTGCCACAAAGAAATCCAAATTCCTTAGGTTAGCAGATGAGACCCTTTCACACCTGTCCCTGTCCACTGCTGTAGCTTTATCTTTTGCTCCTCTCCAATTTGCACCTTTACTACAGCCACACTACATTTTAACTCTCAATTTCCCAAGTTTATACTCTCCCTTTTGACTGGAGTAAATCTTGTCTATTATTTTACCTTGCAAACTCTCACAAACATTTTATATTAGGCACTTAAAATGAGACATTAACTTGCCCAGAAAGCTTTCCCTAATCAAAAGGTATAATGGGTTTGGGCACAGAGCATAGCTTGTTTCTAAGAAGTGGAAGTAGATTTTCATTTCCTATTGCAATGAAAAAAAATGTGACTCATATATCTCATCTTTATACTTAGTTTATTTCAGGTACTGTCATAATCTAAAAACATGTATCTCCTTTTGAGAAAGCTGGGAAGGTATTTTGCTCATTTCAAACCATTTTCAGCATTAAGTCTAGATATCTTCACGCTGCGAACCCCTAAGCACATCTCCATTATCCCATTAACAGTATTGTATTCTTGTTTGTTGGCTTCTGTGTATGGGTGCCTTTTCACATATTAAATTCTTCTTGCTGTTAGGACAAATACCTAGTATTTTTTGTTTGTATCTCCAAGGCCTCAATTAGTGCCTGGTGGCATAATATCTATCTACCTATCTATCTATTTGTCTATCTATTTACCTACCTACCTATCTACCTATCATTTAAATTAAGAATGAAGTTGATTGCAGTAACTTTTTAAGAAAAGTATCATAAAGAAACAAATTATTTTTCTATACAATTCAAAATAGTAAATTAAATAATTATGGATTTAATGGAAATGATTCATTTTATTTATTCTGATAAATTAGGTTCTTGGGCTCAGTTCTTCATTTTTCTTAAGAAAATTTAGGTTGGTCTATATGATCTATATGGCTGTTTAACACATTACTTAATTTATTAAAATTAGCCATACGATAGTCCTAGATTTTATCATACATTTGAGAACATACAGAAATTCAGTTTACTTTTACTTATCATAATTGTGTCTTTAACCTAGATGTCTTATATTTCAAAAATAAGGTAAACACTTGTGAGATCCATTATTTACTCAATAAATATTTATTGATAAATAAGTCTACAATGAATTGTGTTTTGCCCATTGAAGGAAAGCACGAATGTATTGGTGACTAAATAGTTTGTCAGATATGTCAGATATAATATATATGAAGTTTAGCTGAATGTGAACTTTGTGAATAAAATTTATAAATAATGAATATCTTTCCATATTAAGTCTTACTTTTAATGATGATAAAATTATAATATATTAATTTATGGGTGAAAATAAAATGCCTTTTATAATACATATTGTAAATACTAGTGAAAACAAATAGCTCTTGATAATGATAGGCTTTCTCATAAGTTGTTGGATAAAGATTAATATGCAAAGTTTCACATTTTTAAATGAGGGCAGGTTAAAAATAAAAACAGAAAATAAAGCTGAAATATGTGGACCTTCAAGCATTTAAAAATGGAAATTGCATTCCTTTCAGATAACCACAAGATGGTGTATCATAATTTTTATAAAAAATGGCTTTAATTGTGATGTAAATATTAATGCCTCAAGGACACATTGCTTTTTATTTATTCAAACTTTTAAAATACTCAGAACCTTTTCTCATCTGAATGTGTCTGAAAAGGTAACTAATCAACACATGCATTTTATAATTATTTTTCTTTTTGCCTTATCTCTTCTGTGATTTTAAAGATATTTCTACTGAAGTTTCACTGAGAAAGCAATCCAAGAAACTGTTGTGTATCTGAGACAATTATCACACTTTGGGTGTATGGATTTGGTTGAAAGATCTTGTGTCCCTCTTCTAAGACTTACTTTTGGCTATAACAAGCTGCTTAATATACTGAATTTTGTTGTTTTCTCTGATAATATTTATAATATGTTGGCTTTGTAAGCAAGAATTATAAGATATAATAATTTTAATTTTTATAAACTTTTTATAACATGGATTGTTTAAAATTCTGCATTTCTTAAATATTTGCATATGTCTACTTTTAACAGACATACATAATTTTTCTTTTTTTAGGTTTTCAGCAAGAACAGCAACATAACTTCTATAGTTTGATCTCTTTTTGTGTGTTTTGTATATAGAAAGAATATTTTTCCCATGTATTTGAAAATGTATTTGCTTATACAAATTGTTTTTATTGAACTGTCTGGATATAAATTATTGAGTTTCCTGACATAAAAAAAATCTTAAGATGAAGCCAAAAGCACTCCATTTCTTATTAAGTGTAAATTAAGTAAATATGTCTAAGAAATAAAATATATATATATATAAATTATTGCTCAGATACTGAATTTGTGCAATAGGTGTCCCATCTTGAACACACATTTTTGTTGTCTTTAAAATGGTTAAAATGTATTTTTAAATCTATGTGGTATTGTTGTTTTTTTAGGACATAGTCTACTTTGGTCAATGTAGCTGTTTCTATTATAGAACACTGGCAAATTTTACCTAAGACAATCTCTAAATAATTATATTTTTTTCTGGTGCACTGATAGTTCAAAAACATTTTGTGAGGGAACATAGAATGTTCTTCAGTGTTTAGAGGAATA
This sequence comes from Homo sapiens, assembly GCF_000001405.40. Taxonomy (NCBI): domain Eukaryota; kingdom Metazoa; phylum Chordata; class Mammalia; order Primates; family Hominidae; genus Homo; species Homo sapiens. The sequence continues at coordinate 102,060,299 of NC_000006.12, forward strand.
ACCAATTTGGAATACAGCTATAAATCAGAGTAGTAGAAGCACAAATGAACAAAACATTTCAATTTGGGGGATGATAAGAAGAAAATCAGAGGGTTTAGTTTAAACACGCAAGACTAGGGATCCTATTTTAAAGGTCATTTATAAGGAAAACACGTAGCAAAGCCAACTAATTCTGTATTTCATGGAAACAGAAGAATGAAAACAGGTTGTTTACAGATAGCTACGTATAAGCTGCTGTTAAAATTTTAAATAATTAGTTCTAACAGGAGCAATGCTTTTTAGAAGAATATACTTTTGGGGTAAGGTATAGGAATGCAAACAGTGTTATAAATTATCAGTAAAAATGTTATGTCAATATTTATGTTTTGCCCAGTAATGCCTTTTTAGAAACTATAAGATATCTATACTTTTTATTAATTACATTTGATGTAAGAAATTTTAGCTGAACTTAATTTTACAGAAGTTAAAATTTCTAAGTAAATTTTCAGTGTAAAAATTATAGCTGTAAAGCATAATTATATAATAATATCATATTACTTTTTCTTAAAATGCGTTTCACAGCTATATTGACTAAAGTTGTGTTGATTCTTGTCAGACCTTATGTATTAATTTTTTAACTTGTTCTTCACAAGTTAAAAAGTATAAATAAACTTTGGACAAATGTCAATTTTTTTATTGTTTTTATATCACTGCCTTTCTTTGAGAGCTGAGTGTCTTTCAATTTCCATGAATGATCTATATAATGACTAATTGGATGAATTTTTAAAATGTCTTGATATACAAATATAAAATACTGTACTTTGAAATGAGGTGTCAATCTTCATTTTGCTTACTGATCTACTTCCAAATCAGCTAAAGGATTTTTAGGTCATTTGTTTATGATAACCCATACTCTTTGTATCCCCACAAATAATTATTTTTAATTAAAATAATAGCTTAATAGATAATTTTACCACCTTATTTTTATAAATGACTTTAGTTTTTAAAGTGTAATACCACATTTGAATACAAAACTACCCTAAGAGCCATGTAAATATTATCATCTATATAGTACAGATGAGGATAATAAGTATCTCAAGGGTGAAGTTGTTTTCCAAGTTCAAAGATGCCTAGTCTAACAGTGTTTCAACCATATCAAGCTGTACAGAATGGAGGCAGAATATTTAACTATTCTTCCTCCTTGAATTTTTCACTAAGGAAATATATGGATTAGGAGTTTGAATTAGATAAACAGATTATGGGCTTTGGTCATAAGCAGCCTAATAATTTCACCTTCCTAGATAGTAAGCATGAGTTATGGAATTAAAAAGACTTGGAAACATAACTTTGTTTAACCTTAGATAAAATTACTTAGCCTCTCTATTCTTCTTTTTAAATAAATAAATAAATGAAACAATGAATAAACAAGTTATGAATCCATAAAAACGGTGTTTTAAGAATTAATTAAGATAGTTAATATACATAGAGGGCTTCTTTGCACATAACTGGCTTATAACAAGCAGCTCTTTTAAAAATAATATCATTATTATTATTTGTAAAGCTGATACATTTTAACTGCCACACCTTATGAAAAGAAAGTTTTCTAGCTTAAGCATTAGTTATTTGGATGTAACTCTTAAAAAAAATCGTATCATTATGACTACTAGCAAAAATGTGATGATTAGTATTATTTTTTCTAAAAATGCATTTCACAGCTATATTGATTAAAGTTGTGTTGTCAGACCTTATTTTTTTTTTTAACTAGCTTAAGTAGGGGAAATTTAAAAGTGTATAATGATCCTCAATTTTTCTCCATCCCATTGTGTTTGCAAAATACAATATGAGGATATTGGGTAACTGTTTCTGTTAGAGTAAAGGTTTCTGAGAATATTTTAATATTTGATAATGTTTATCATTGTGAAATAATCCAGGCTAAAGCATAACATGATTTATAATTTAATTCACTAAGAAAGATATGTATTTCTTTTGCCCTCATAATTTTTTTCTGTCTGCTGTATAATTTAGTATTCAAAAAATTTACATTTAGCAAGAATAGAGTCCAGGTAAAAAGCTCAGCTGAGAATGAAATCATCATTAATAAGGCAGGCTAATATGATAAAGCTTTCATAGATGGAAGTTAAGATAATAGAGTTCCTGTCTTAGCTCTGAGACTAGTTAGATATATAACTTGACTTCTTAAGTTTTAATTTTTTCTAGCTATAAAACTACAGTGATCAGTAGGATCACGAAAGATGCTACATGTAAAGTTTCTTTTGACTGCTGAATAGCTTATGTAAATAATAAAACTTTTTTTTAAAGATAGCTGCTCTAAAACCAAATATCAAGAACAAGGTTGTATATATTTTTTTAACATGAGTGATTTAGCCAGTCATTTTCCATCTTTCATTGCTTCACTGTTATATTCATATAGCCTTAGGTCAATTCATACTTCTGATGTATAGCATTAACTGTTTGATGTTTTTAAAAGGCTGCCAATCAAAACAGTTATATTCACAAGAAAAAATTTAACGGGTCACATTAAATGACATTTATTTTTGTTATTTAACACACCAATATTATGTAAAATATTATATCTTATATCCTATGAATATTTTTTCCATTTTAGTTATTATTATTATCTAATGTGGTAGAATAATTTTCTGCAACTAATCACAGTGACTGTTTTGATTTGTTTCCACTACATGTGACTTACTATTCTTGGGCAAATGGCCTATAGAGTCAGAAATTAATTGGAGAGTGTCTAAGAATATATAGTATATCCATAATTAGTTAACAAATAATTTAAATGACAAACACAAAATAAAAGTTTGGTTGATATGTACTAGAATATATTAGACCACTGAGGTACAATAGTATCTTATAGATACCATTGATAGGAGTAGCTCAAATTTTGGTAGGCTCCAAGTAGGATAAGTAGAAATTGTATGTAGAAATGGTTAGGAATTATTCTGAATGAATACTAAAATATCATTTAGTTATTTTATACTATCAAAATTAGGCCAGCGAGATACACAAAATAGGATTTCCTCCTTAAAAATAAATACTAAATGCAGGCTTGAAAGTAACATATTTTATGATATTTCTTGACCAATGAATACATATATTCAAAAAGAGAGTGATGAGCATAAAAGTTAAATCATGCTGGTTATTTTTCTTCAGATACTGTTTTTCAAAAATAAGTATATTGCTAAACATAATGGTTTTAACTTTAAAATGAAGCTACATATGTCAATTATCAATGTGGAGCATGATTTCAACTACACTTCTAATATAAAAAGAAATCTGTGCTTCTCCAAATGCTGTCACATCATGTTATTATAAAAATATATCTTTTAATTAGGAAGTTAAGCTTTTAAGAATAAATATTCTGTAACATCAACAATGATATTCTTGAAAACATTTACCTGTGGACTATTTATGTATTTTCTTATTACATCCAAAATACAAAATAGAGCTCTTTAAAAAAAAAAAGCTCTATAAAAAAGCAATGTAAATATGGCCAAGTTCATACTATCAAGATTTCCAGATCTACATTGTTTCAAGAATTAGAGATGTGTAAATATAAATTGACTAATTAAATATAATGAATTTTATTAAGAGTTTTACTAATTTAAATGCAATTATACATGCTAACAGCTCAAAGATTTAAATTTTCATTTTCAGGAATCTTCTATTTGGTTAGTGCCACCATACCATCCAGACACTGTTTAGTAATCTTTTGAAACTTACTAAAAGAGGTTTTTAATAATGGTTAGTATCCTTGTGCCTTTCTTTTTTCTTTTTGTAGTCTGTTATATTAATGTGGAGAAACATTTTTATTGTTGTTTTCATCCTAAGGAACTGACCTTATTTAATGACACAGTGCGTGGGTTTCCACCCCTAAATAGTGATTTTAAAAGCAAGATAGTTGTCTTTCTCTTTCTTCTTCCCTCCAGCTTTCCCTTTCTTCTTCTCCTCCTTCTCCTCCCTCTCCTTCTCCTTCTCTTCTCCTTCTCCTCCTTCTCCTCTCCTTCTCCTCCTCCTTCCTTTCCTTTCCTTTCTTTCCTTTCCTCTTTCCTTCCTTCCTTCTTTCTTTCTTTCTTTCTTTCCTTTCTCTCTCTCTCTCTCCCTCCCTCCTTTCTTTCTTTCTCTCTTTCTCTGTCCATCTTTCTTTCTCTCTTTCCCTCTCTCTCTTTCTTTCTCCACTTCTTTTCTTCTTTCTTCTTTTTTTAGTATAACCAGGAAAATTACTGCCTAGTGCACTTGGGTTTTGAGACTTATTTCATAGTCCAATAAAAAGATTTAAAATAAATTTCAATCATTATATAAAGTATAAAAGACAATTTGTCTCTACTTAATGATAATACGTTAGAATTTTACTTAAAAGTTAGACACAGTAAATTTTGGGCAATGTACAGCACAGGGAAACAATTATATTTCACAAAACTCTGTATAGTTTCAGCTTTAGAGACTTATATAAATCAAGATATGGAATTTGCCTTGTAAACCTTTAAACAAAAAGAAAAGAATGTATATTTGCTCTAGTACCATAAATGAACAGTTCTTTGTGATATCCTTGAATTTGTTTAATTTGCCATGTTAATTGTAAAATCTTGCTCAAATCTAAAGATTATCAAGTTTTAAAATGGGTTAGAATTATTCTACAAATGAGAAAAGAACCTATCGTCTCACAGTAACTTTATCAATAACCTAAATAAACCTATTTTTCATGTAAACTTACATTGATAAATAACAAAAGAGCTGGCAAAATTCATCTTATTCAAAGAGAAAATTAATAAAATTTGTATTTTGTCATTATGTAATCGAGACCATTGATTGACTTATGAAAGATTGCTTGATTAAATTTTTACTTTCTAATGGCTTTGTAAGCTAAATAAAGTCTATGACGACAATGGTGATTTACATGTTTACAATTTTGAGATAGTTGTAAAATTTGTAAATATAATTTATTTAAGACAATTTCAAATTATAAAAGATAATACTATTCTGGTAATTGATTAGAATGGGCTTTTTTCAATTTACATTATCTATTACTCAGCAATATAAACTTAATATTATATGAAATTGCTTAAAATGGTTTTAAATGTTCTTATTTGTAGTCTGAAGTAAGTATGGGGTACTAAACACAGAGTTTACCTCTTAAATTGCTAGAAATAATATTGAGTCATTTCATAGTTGAGCTTGTATGCACATGTGTAAGATTTTTTCCTAAGAAAGTTAGTTACTTAGCCTACTCCCTTACTATAGGCAAATTATTAATTAACATTTATACTCTATTCTGTTTTGAAAGTAATGTAACCAAAATATCTGAAAATTGAGATTGCCAAGAAGAAGGTGTCATAAATTTTTGAAGATTTGGGAAATTTATTGGTTTTAAATGAAGGTTTATTTCAAACGATTCAATGTTACACGTCCTATAACAATTTTAAATGTCAACGGGATCAAGTTTTGACCATGTTATGTCATCTAATTAATTCTTCTGTTAAATGTTTCAACAGAGAGCCAAGACTAAGTTACCTCAAGACTATGTATTCCTCCCTATTTTGGAGTCAGTTTCCATTTCTACAGTGTTGTCATCATCACCATCTTCATCATCATTATCATCATGTTCTTAATAAGTACATCTAATAGTAGGTATTAAGCAACAAGAAACACTGTTTCCATATACTGGCTGTCAGGTGCCACATAAATCCTTTAATAGAAATATAATTCATGAATTGCAGAACTGCATAATTTAACACATAATACATAATGCATGGCAATGACTCTGTAGTTAATGGGGAATTCACAAGTCACATTTAATCATCACCCATTACAAGTGCTAATATATTAATATTTTTATTAATTTAATGTTATTAAACAAATGCTAAAGTTTTGCCTAATTTTATTAGGCAAAATTAATTGTATGCAATATATTTTCACTAGGTTTCTAAACCTGAAAATTTTTTAAGCAATTGAATTAGAAACATTGTTAAATAAGAATTAAAATATTAGAGTCCTGTGTATCTATTGTTAATTCAATCAACATTTAAAGAGCTTATGTGTGTACAAGCAGTGCCGTGAGAACTTGACCTCTGCTCTACACAATTCAGGGAGAGAGATACATAGAGCACTGGCAGGCCAGACAGAAAAACAGGATAATGAGTGGAAAATACTGACAGAATAAAACAAAATCAAGTTGTGAAAACAAAAGAATGTGCCTGGTCAAGTGGAAAGGGCTTCCTAATTAAGTTAAAACTTGAGCCATGTCCTGAGGTAGGGGATAAAGTTGGGATGATGTGAAAGATGAAAGAACTCAGCAGGGTACCAGAACAAGGAGAAACAAAGGAAAAATATTAATGGAAGTCCCACCAATAAAGGGAGTGTGAGGAGAAAGAGAGAGAGATGGAAGCAGTGGGGAAGGGAGAAGAGGGCTAGATCAGAGAAGTCATGATGGAAAAAAATAATAGATTTGAGTTTGACTTGTTTCCTAAAGGAGAAAATGCTATTAATAATTGATATTTTAAAAATAGATTATCCGGGTAATTGTGAACCTTTACAGAAGAGTGGCGTAGACGTAGAATTAGGAAGACCATTAAGGAAACTCTTTAAGGAGTCCATCAAAGGAAAATTAGGATATAGCCAGAGATTGACAGGAAGGTAATAGAGCAGTGTCAAAATCATAAAACTAGATATATCAGGATATGTTGCTGGAATCTTAGGTGTGAACTGTAGAAAGTTATCCAACCTCTCTCTGAATCAGTTTTCTCTGACACACAGATACCTAATTAATTCAAAGTATGTTTAGACTGGCACAAACTGTTATGAAAACAATTTTTTAAATGTATTTTTAAGTTAACATATAAAATTGTATGTATATATCATATATAACGTGTTTTGATGTATATATACATTGTGGAATGGTTAGATATGTCTAATTAGCAAATGCATTACCTCACATATTTATTATTTTTGCAATGAGAACACTTATTCACTCTTTTAGCACTTTTCAATAATATATTATTATTAACTATAGTGGCCATGCTGTGGAACAGAGCTCTTGAAATTTTTCTTCCTGCCTAACTGTAAATATGTATCGGAAAATGACACACATATGGTCTTAAATATTTTCATCATGTTGTCTTAGAAATAGTCTAAGTTCATAATCAATAAAGCAGCTAACGCACAAATAAGTCTTCACATGTATCTCAATCAGTTGGGGAGAGACACTAACAAAATTTTGTTTCATATATATGACTCTACAATATAAATTTTGAGGAGCTGTAACAATAAGCCCCAGATAAACAGAGGTTCTAGCAAATCTATTTCCAATGAGATGGGAACTAAGACAAAAGCAACATAGGGTCATATTTTTTCTCATTTGATAAATTATCAGCTCTCAGTTATCAAGCTAATGATGACAAAAAAGTTAATATTTGTTTGTAGATGTCTAACATGCTATAATTTGTCATTTCATGATTAAGTCATATTTGTTTGTAATCACTGTCAATGTTTCTATAGGCATAATCACAAAAAAGACATAATGAAATGCCAGAAATTGTTTTCCATATTTTATGTCTGTGTGAGTGCTATCTTTGTTTTGAGATGTACAATGAAGAATCAATGTTCAAACAACATTTGCATATCTCATCTTGTGATCTGAAAAGTAGTATGATTTGTCTATTTTTTTGTATCAAGAATGGGTTTCTGGTATAGAATTGTCATTGTATTTAAATTTTAAAGTAGATGTCTATGTCATGCTAATCATTTTTATATAATGTCATAGGAAAATTTTATTTAATATATGTGTAATATATACATTACTAGCTGGTTGTTCATTTCAGTATCGGGTGGAGATTTTCTTTAAACTAGCCCACTTTTATAGAATATTTTAATTATCATGGGTTGAGTGTTTAAAGTGTGACATTTGTTATAACTTTTACAATGAAAATTTTCAAACCTTCAAGGATGTTATGTGACAAGTCTGTTGAGGATGATTTTAATATTGATCTTGGACAGTTACAGTTTATGTATCTTGTAATATTTAATTTTTCTGTGTTCTTCTGTAGAGGTCCTTCTGTAGTGCCATGGTAGAAGAATTGAGGATGTCCCTGAAGTGCCAGCGTCGGTTAAAACATAAGCCACAGGCCCCAGTTATTGTGAAAACAGAAGAAGTTATCAACATGCACACATTTAACGACAGAAGGTTGCCAGGTAAAGAAACCATGGCATAAAGCTGGGAGGCCAAACACCCAAGCACAAACTGTCGTCTTTTTCCAAACAATTTAGCCAGAATGTTTCCTGTGGAAATATGCAACCTGTGCAAAATAAAATGAGTTACCTCATGCCGCTGTGTCTATGAACTAGAGACTCTGTGATCTAAGCAGTTGCAATGATCAGACTTGATTTACAAGCATCATGGATCAACCAAGTTACACGGGGTTACACTGTTAATCATGGGTTCCTCCCTTCTTCTGAGTGAATGTTAACATGCGCATTTTGTGGCTGATTTCAAATGCAGTCCAGTGAGAAATTACAGGTTCCTTTTGAAGCTCAACTGTTGCCAGGAGATGGAATATCAATGCCCAACAGGGCAACCAATAAAAGTGTCACTAAGAATATAAATATTTGGAATCAGCAAAAACTGTAGTGTTACAGGAAACAGTACAGTCTTCTGAACACCCAGATCATAGAGGTGATGATGTTACTAGCCCCCAACTACTCAGTATAATTATTGTCTGAATGCAAAGTATGTGTTTATAGGATGTGAAAAAATGTAATGCAAAACAAATTTGAATCCCATGGCAGTTGGAATATAAAGCAGATGTTCATCACTTATTTTCCTTTTTTCTTTTCTTATTTTTTTTTTTGACAGTCTGTGTCACTGATTGAGATAGAAATGCCAATTATCAAGGAAATAATGTTTTCTTAAGTTCCCTAAGGCAGAAGATTTAACATGCAATTCTACCAGATCCCTTCCTATTCCCCCAACACCTTTTCTCTAACCCCCATATCCCAAATAATAATAATAATAATAATAATAATAATAATAATAATAATAAAAGCAGTTGGTTCAGTGATTCTGAATTAAAAGGATAATGTTTTGCAATGTTCAAGTTGTAAAAACTGGCCGAGTATTGGCTGTGTGGAAGACTAAAGCTTTCATTCTAACATTCAGACATAGCAATCCAAACCCTTGTTCCTGCTGTAAATGAACTTGATGGAGCATGGGCAGATTTCAGTGATACGAGAAAGGGGACTGGTCATCTATAGAAAAATCTGTGAGAGAACTTGGAAGTGGACTGCGTTTATCAATACAGTCACAATGTTAAATGAACAAAATTCTTGAACAGTTTTTTTTCAAAAAATGTTCAGGTTTATTTGTGGAAATGCAAGATTTCTATGAAAATAGTTTTTGTATGGAAATTTTTGTAATACTTTTTATCAACAAAACAAGAACATGTGTTCCTGTCAGGGGTGTGATGTCAAGCATGAATGGTAGTGCGTGTGCACCACCAACGTTTGGTGAAAACTATTTTTATCAAGAAAAAAGGAATCATAGAAGAGAAATATTTTCAAGTTAGATAATATAAAAGCTAGGTGCACTACCACCACTGCTTACCATGCCACACCCCTGGTTTCCACGAGGCTGACAACATACTGTAATGAACAATTGTGTGTAAAATGGTAAAAGACACAGACCTCTTGACAACATTGTGATAACAGTTGAGTGCACACAGTTTGCTGTTTGAATCCAATGCACAAAATTAAAAAAAATCATTAAAACTATGTTCATTTTACTTTCAGCTTTGTCTTTCATTTTTCTCTTGTATGTGTAATGAATGCACCATATACTTCTTTACATTAAGAGAAGCACATATCCTAAATATTTCTAGATCATCAAGGATGGCCACTTCCCAACTACCTGAAGAAAAGAAGAAAAATGCTTGGGGGAGGACCTACTCAGATCTGGAAAAGCTGGACTGGGATATAAAAAGTAATCTTAAGTTCAGAGCAGTTAAAATAAGACAAACAGTAGTTCTAGAGGTGACAGACATGATATTACCTTTTCAATGAGAGGATATTGACTTTGTAAGTTAGGTTGTATAAGACTGTACAGTGATCACTAACATTTAAAGTTCAACTCATATGCTATTTAATAATTCCTTGCACATTGATAATTTAATGTAATTCAGCATAAAACAGAGAAAGAGATAGGTCTAATATTCCACTTAGTGATGATGTGGCATAGATGTTCACATACCAATAGGAACTTTTTAAAATGATAAATTGTAACATATATTTTGCTAAGCAAAACAATTATAATCAGAACCACTGACAGAAAGAAAAAAATAAGAAGTTCTGTGAAGTATTTTTTAACTCACAAAAGTTGCATAATCAAAGTGCCTGACATCTAAATTAAATATCCAAGTGTTTTCTAAATTTCTAGTCTCATGGTCATTTTAAGTTAAAATTCATATGTCAATGATAATTATCTCAAAATATAATTTTAGAGAGTTGCACAAAGCACTGCTAAAAATCTCAGCATTGGTTTGGTGGCAAATATCCTCAAATAACATACCTCATAAAAATGTTCAGATTTTGGATAATATTAAGCTTTTTATAAATCAGATTCTAATTAGACTTTAAAGCACTTTTAAAAATCAGTTTCGTATTGTATTATCCAATCTTAAATGATAGGCAGGAAATGACAACTTTAATTATGTTTAATTAATCACTAAATAGTTACTTAAATTTTTGCAAAAATTTGACATTTATTTAATTCAATTAAATTAGTGAACTTTGAAGAGTGTAAAAAACCTGCTGCCCTCAACTTTTCAAGTAATATAGAATATATAAACAATGTATAGTATTACTTTTTGTCAATGTCCTAAAAGGTATCTACATTATTGCCAAAACAGATATTTTTCTACTGTGGGGCTTATGCAATATGAGGTACTAATATTAATTCCAATAAATTATAATTACCTTTAAAGTAAAATTTAACTTTGAAAGAGCATCTCTTCTCTGGGAAGGCAGTATATTTGAGTAAGCATTATTCTCTGAAGTACATTGAAATTGTAAGAGAGAGGAAGAGGACACGTATTCTAATCAGCAACATAACCTTAAACTCTCGGTCATCAATGGAGGCACATAAGCCACAGCTAAATAACCCAAATCAGGATGAAAACACTGAGGATTTATATTCTCATTTAACATACCTAAATAATTTGAACCACTCTGAGAACACCAAAGAGATATTTAAATATTTATAGCTGATAACCCTAACCACTATGGAACACTAAGAGGACATATATTATTTTACAAATATGTAAAAGGGATGATAATATTTTATTGATTGCAGTGTTTTAAATACTTTGCAACTAAGTTATATTTTTAAAGTATGATGTCCTTATTGCTATTATAGAATGGGTGTATGTATAAAGCACTAATTATTTCAAAGAATTTTTAGCACCACAATACTTTTAAATGCGTGTTTATTATAAAATATATAGAAGAATGTATACAACACATGTGTGCAACAGAATCATGGCACCTGACTGTAATGTGGTCCCAAAGTACTTGTTCAGAGGAAGTGGGCTGTGGCTGTTCCATGTATTCAGATTATAGGCTTATTTTGGCTTATTTCTAACTTTCAGATATAAATTTAAGCAGAATACTTCCATAGAGAGAAAAGAGTACCGAGTCATTTTAGAGAACAGGGTATGAAAGGTACAAGAAGAACTTCACCAGTTTGTGACCAAGCAAAGTGTGAATAATAATATGGGCCAGGCTAAGCTGCAAAATTTGTCTTTGGGTTTAAAAGATAGTACAATGGCAGTGAGGACTTTGGTTATGACAGTCCTCAGCGTATCTGTAATTTTAGTCACACTATTTCAATATGGACTGATAGGCAGGCCTCTGTGTCTGCAGCACAATTATTAATGCAAGATTCCTCCCAGCTCTCTCACCTTCTGGTGATTCCCTTTTTCTCTCTCCATGGTGAATCTCCTGATGTCTCTAACATGTGTTCTCCCTTTCCTTCATTTACTCTCTATTTTTGGTGTCTTCTAAAGAAGGGGTGACTGAGGTCAATTTTTTTTTGAGATAGTTCATGTCTGAAAATGCTTTCATTATACCCTAATAAATAATTAATAGTTTTGCTAAGTATAGAAACTAAGTATAGAATTCTAAGTTGAAAAAATATTTTTCCTGGATAAATTTGAAAGCATTCTACTGTTGCTTTTTTTATTATCAGTCTACTGCAGAAAACCTGAAGTTAGATCCATGATTCTTTGTATATAATTTTTAAAATATTAACTTTCTTAATTTTGTATGATCTTTTCTTTATCTTTAGCATCCTGAACTATACCAATCATAGCCATGTATCTACTTTGATTCATTGTCCTGGGTTCATGCTGATTTTTAAAATTTCAGTTTTAGGAAAACTTTCTGCACTATTTCTTTGCTTTCTCTGTTCACTTTAAACAGCTCGGTTTCTTTTAACATTGGAATTCCTGAACTTTTGAATCTAAATTTATTTTTGCTCTCCTATTTCTCATTTGTTTCATTGTTATCTTGCAAATATTGTGTTGAGTTTTTCATTTCTGCCCAACTGATTTAAATTCTATGAGTTCTTGTTTTATGGCTGTGATATATGTTACATATTTGAAGACATTACTGGTAATCTTTTGACATTCCCTTCTTCCCAAAAAGATGTTTCCTTTCAGTCGCATTATTCTGTTTGCTTAGTTAGATTTCTGTCTTTCATATTAGGAGTTTTCTTCAGATGTTTATTAATTTTAGCAACCTGCTTATGATAAAGAAAGAAAAACTAAAATCTGATTTAGAAGCTCTATATCACTCTACAGCAGGATGGGGAAGAATACTTACCTAATTTGAGCATTACCATAGATTAATCCAGGTGGCCTATTTGCCGAGGAATCCTTCCAAATGTCCCTATCTTTGGGTCTTTTCTTTTGGGCCTGTTCGATTCCCCCAGGAAGTGTCTTTTACTTTCCTGGCTGGAGATTAAGGCTCTGACGGCCAGTATTCTGCTAAACATCAATTAAGAGAGTTTAGGATCTCTGCGTTCTGCATTCAGAATGACTGTGGTCATTTAATCAAGCTATTTTAAATATAAGGCTCAGTCTTTCAATGGAATCTGGTGTTCTCCTCTAGAGATTTGCTGGATTCGCAGCAGGAAAGTTCCTAGGAGTGAAGAAGGATGTAACACAGGATCCACTATTTTTAAGCTACACTTAATACATCTGCCTTAATTTATGTACTCTCTTATACTACTAGCTATTAATGTACTTTGTACAGCTGGTTCCTCTGCCTTTTGAGTATTCTCTGGTGTAACTGGTTGGTTCTCAGCTTTTTCCACTGCCCATTTGGGATGCAACCCTTTCTTTTTTTTTTTTTTAATTGTCTCAGCAGGCAATTTCACTTCTATAGAAGGGTGTACCTCGTGGATGGAGCAATGGTGAGAGCACACCTGAGCAAGGGAGAGGAAAGGGTTCTTATTCCTGACACAGGTAGCCCCTACTGTTGTGTTGTTCCCCTGTTGGCTAGGGCTGGAACGCACAGTCAAAGCTAATTCCGATTGGCTATTTTAAAGAGAGCAGGCGTAGGAGCCAGAATGGTGGGGCGAGTAGTTTGGCGGGAAGGTCAGTTACAGAACAGGTGACTCAGGATGACTCAGGTCAGAGCAGGTGACCAGGGGTGTCTCAGGATGGAGCAGGTGACCAGGGGTGACACAGGATGGAGCAGGTGATAGAGGCTAGGAGGGGGTTGTTTACTGAAACTAGGGGCAAGGAGATGACGAGAACGAGAAAGTTAAACTTTAAAATGAAGAACAAAGAACAGGGGAGCTGAACATACTGATAGAACTCTTTCAAGTCTACTTAGGTAACTATTTGTTTGTTTTTCTGCTTCTAAAATTTTGTTGAAATTTTCTCCTTTCTTATTCTCATTGTTCTTGAGGTTTCGTGTATTTAAAAAATCTTCTTACTGTAATTGTCATAGTTGAGTAGGGAGCAACGTTAGATTAATATATTCAATACTTCACTGTTACCTGGAATAAGAGCCCTCTCTTTAAACAAAATATTATGCAGAAATCTAATACAGGAAGCAAATAAAAACTAGAACTACTCTGGTTCAAATAGAGTGAAGACAGAGCAGATCTTGTTCTTGTAATTGAAAGGAATATGATATAATAAGTATTGACAATATTTTCTTCTCACCAAATAAGTTTCTAATTCTATATATAAAGGAAATACTTTCAGAATAAAACGAATATATGAGTTTTATTTTTAAATCACAAAACGAAGTTCAAGAACATTTTTGAAACTGGGAAGATTCATATTTTAGTATCTGTCAAATGATGATAAATTCGGAAGCCAGTGTAATTTATACCCTAGGGGCTGAGGTCTAATTCAACATATTCCAGTTTCTATTTTCTAAAGCTAAAGAAACATGTGTTACAATGTAGATAGGGAATACTTTCTTAATGAACCATGCTGAACTGTAAGATTTTTAAGACTCCTTTTTAATGCATTACATTACACTGTATCTTGTTTTCACATTTATGGTGAGGTTAATATAAAAGAGACATTAAACAAATATATTTCTGCTCTTTACAAAGGATGATTATTGTTTTCTTACATTTCAACTAAAAATTTCTATAATATTATACTTGCAAGAAGTATAACACTCTTAATGAGCAATACAGTTAACCTTAAGGTTAACTTGCAAAATTTCATGTCTAATTTAGTATCATTAACACATTGAAAAATCTCTCCTAAATTTCACTCATCTTGATCAAAATCCATGTTAAAGGTTTTGAAACTACACTTAATACATCTGCCTTATTTTATGCCCCCACTTATACTACTAGTTATTAATGCACTTTGGACAGCTGGTTCCTCTGCCTTTTGAGGATTCTGTGGTGTAACTGATTGGTTCTCAGCTTTTTCCACTGCCCATTTGGGATGCAACCCTTTCAAGTCTGCTTAGGTAACTATAATTTGTTCATGTGTTTTTCTACTTCTAAAATTTGGCTGACATTTTCTCCTTATTCTTGTTGTTCTTGAGGTTTTATGCACTTAAAAAATCTTTCTACTGTAATTATCGTAGTTGAGTAGGGAGCAACATTAGATTCATGTATTCAATACTTCACTGTTACCTGGAATAAGAGCCTTTTTTAAGGGCTCTTACTGAAAAACACAATACACTTATGTTCTTCTATAATGTTTTAAGGAATTTTTTAACATTAATCTCCTGTCTCAGCCTTTAAGGCCATTAAATGACTTAAGATAGTTGCTGTGGCTCCAAACATTGTATCCACATTTCCACAAGAGGAAGTAAAAAAAGAAAAAAATGAGTCTTGCCCTTTCCTTGTAAAGACAATTTCCACAAGGTTCACATTCCTCTGGTCAGAAATCAGTCATACACCCACGCCTAGCTGGAAGGTAGGTTGGGTAATGTGGACTTTAATTCAGACAGTATTGTGTCAGTAAAAGTCAGGGGTTCTATTATTAAAGAAGCAGTGTAAACAGACATGAGAAAACAAACTGTAGCCTCTGTGCTTCTTGGTATTTTCTGGTCTCTCACTCCACTAGTCAAACTCTATCTTATTCTGTTGACACGCCTCCCTACTTTGATCATTTACTGTGCTATGTCAACCATTCTGTTCTTCTCAGATTCACTCATACCTTGTTGTTTTCTTTTACATTTCGTATACCTGTTTCCCTAAGGGAAACCTAGATTTTCCCTTATGATGCCATTTGTCTTAAAACATAATAGAAAGAAGTTGGCAATCTCTTTGCTCTGCAGAATATCTTTCATTTAGTTATCAATAATTATGTACCTTATATTAACTATTACTGATTTTCAAGATTTTTTTCTTTAAAAACCATGATTATCATTGGCCTGTGCCCTGCCACCATCAATGATGTATGTCTTCATTTGTGTTAAATAAAATCAGCAGACATACATTATAAACCAGATTTTGTGTTAGATACTGGGTATAAAATGATGATCAAAAATAGACATGGCACTGGCTCTCATAGTTTAGAGTCTAGAAGAAGAGGCCAAGCTTTATTAAATAAGCTGCTAAATACATTAAACTGAAATGTGCTGTCATAAGAAGTTCTCGACTAGGTGCGGTGGCTCACGCCTGTAATCCCAGCACTTTGGGAGGCCAAGGCAGGCAGATCACCTGAGGTCAGGAGTTCGAGACAAGCCTGACCAACAGGGCAAAACCCCGTCTCCACTAAACATCCAAAATTAGCCTGGCATGCTAGCACGTGCCTGTAATCCCAGCTACTCGGGAGGCTGAGACAGGAGAATTGCTTAAACATGGGAGGCGGAGGTTGCAGTGAGCCGAAATCACACCACTGCACTCTAGCATGGGGGACAGAATGAGACTGTCTCAAAAAAAAAAAAAAGTGGAACTCAAGCAGTACCGTTTAATAGCTGAAAATATGAAAATCTTGTTCGTCTTTATGAAGGACACACAGAGAAGTATCTAGTTGTATACTGCAATACATTATAGATTTTTGTTTTTGTCTCAGGCATATCTAACTTCTATTGGCTTTAAACCTTGGCATAGGGTACGATTCTTCCAGACATGGAGACATAAACTATGCTATTAGTACATTATTGGCCTCCATTACTCAGTTTGGCAATTTCCCATTATATACAAAATATGACAACATAACTTTACCTGAACTCTTTCCTGACCTGTATTAGTCCTGTTTGTTTGAATGTTTTCCTTTGTGCTTACATAGGGACAATAAAATATTTCAGCAGTGCTTTTAAAAAAAGTTTCTTGCTTTTCTTGCAAGGTAGAAGTAAACTGTGCTGTAACAATTAACTTTGGAACAAACAGAGCCAAGGGTCAAATATTTAGCCCTTTCCTAAAAGTTTACAGGAAAGTGCATTTGAGTCTTTTTCCACAGATAATGGGAAGTAAAGGTGTATTGCTGTACAAGAGTTTATAATAAAGGAACCTTATTTTGGCTACAGAAATGGAGTGGAGTTCTCTGAAGAAGTGATGTTTGCATTGAGCTATGAGTAATGAGAAGCAAGTTCTCAACAAAAGAGTTTCCCAGATTCTAACAAAGTTTACATAAAAGTTCTGTGACAGGAGGAAGCATGGCATGTTCTTGAGGAGCTGAAAGACAGTGTCGATAGAACACCATAGCATGACCCCATGTAATAGGAGATGCATTTAAAATATAGCTAGGGACCAGATCTTAGCAAGCTCATACCTTAGTGATCTGATCCTTATCTAAAGAGCAATGGAAAACTGTTTAAATCTCTTAAGCAGAAGGAATATTGTTGGACAATATCTTCATTTTGTAAAGACCACCCAGGCAGGAAATTGGAGAATGGTTTAAAAGGTACCAGAGTGGATAATGGGATGAAGATTTTTTAGCAAGCCATATCAGTAAGTTCAGGTAAGACATGTTAGTTTAGATTAGACTCAACTGGTAGCACTGAAGATAAACAGAAACACATTTAAAAAATAATTAGTTGACAAAAATTCACATTTCATGGTGAATTAAATAATAAATATAAAGATGACTAACAATTTTTGTTCTGTAACTTATAATGAGAGCTTTGCATAAATTACCTCCTCCCATTCTCTGATCAACCCTATTAGGCAAGAACTGGGATTATCACCATTATATAAATAAGGAAACTACTGACAGGAGAATTTAAATTAATTTCTTAAAGTATTACAGTTTTCAAAACCAGCCAGAATGACTCTGATATTCTTAACCATTATATTTGGTCACAGTAACAAACTATAATGACGTTGCAACGGCTTATCAAAATGAACGCTTACTTCTCATTCATGAAAATTCTGCTGTGGGTTTTTGAATGTCTCTCTATGGCTAATGTCATCGGTAATAATTCAAAATCCAGGCTACTTCAATCTTTCAATCCCCTCATCTCATCATTAGGTCTCCTCCTTTGTCACCCTCAGGGCTATTTGGCAGGACCTAGTCACATGGTCCTCACCTACTTCAAGGGGTTCACAAGCACCATAGGGGGTTCTAGCCTGGAAGGCGAGAAAAACTGATTTCTTGAAAACTAGCGATGCCAACTACACTATGCAAATCTGTACCAGATTTATGGCTGTCTCACCTGCTATTATCAACTGAAATAGGAAATAGAATAAAATGTAATAATATTTTAGATTTGAATGGAAGAGGATGCATTTAGTTTTTAGAGACATCTCTGAAAATCTAAGCAAAAATATTTTGTAGGAAATTGATCATAATGCATGAACTAGAGTCTGGTAAAAAATACATGTATATCAAAGTCAGCATCTTAGAGATATTAACTGATGTAGAGAATGTAAACAAGATTGTCTCAGTAAAGAATACCTTGTAAGAAGAAATGAGGGTCTAGAAGAAAGCATTGACTCTCTCTAAACTTTAACTGTTGGGTAAGAAGGGGAGGCTTGTATAGGAGATAGAGAAATAAGACTATGACATTTTAAAACGTTAACATTTTTCCATGTTACCCAGAGAGTGATCGATAGAAAATTGTCTGCAGCCCTTAATGCCCTACAGATGGAAAAATGAAGATATTCTTAACTTCCTTGCTGTGGGAACATGATTAAGTTACACTAATCCTGACTTCCAGAAGAAATGTAATGACATTTACATTGTAAATATGAAGAGTATCTGGGAAAAGCATCTGCTGGCAGGTTGGGCCATTGCTGAAAATGGAATCAAGCTGAAATCAGTGTCATATCCTCTTAAAACATTGGCTAGAATCTTGTACTGAAGTTGGTACTTGCACTTCACTTCTAGAACATTAACCAACCAAATCCAGGCAAAGAAGGTTCTTAGCTTAGTCTTCCTACCACTGTTTTAAGTAACACAGATCTATATATTATTTGGAAGTTGCCATACTGCACAATAAGGAAGCTCACTCGGTGGGTCAAATATGGTTGATGCTGGCCTAGGAAGTCTTCCCTATCTACGGCATAATTTTCTGTGAACATGTATAGAAGGAATGCCTGATCTCTACTTATATAGAGATCATATCTGTACTTAGATAGAGGTCTACAAGAGATTGAAAAGGAAGAACAGATTCCTGCTGTTAAGGCTGTGTTCTGGAGTGGTTTTAGGATGAATGCACCACTCTAAATGCTATATTTTCTACTGTTCAACCAATATTGCATATTGGTATAAAGGTGTGCAGATATCCTATATGCTTTTTTGGTAATTTGCTACTGAAGACTGGAGTGCTCAGTTGGTGAAAGATACTATGGTCCAGTTCCCACGGCTTAGGCCACTGAATAAATACAGTCATAGCATATATTTATAAATTTTCAGAGACGCTCTTAGACTATGAAATAAGATTCATAGAAAATAACAGTTATTTTATTATTATTATTGTTATTTTTTTTAGAGATGAGGTCTTCCTATGTTGGCCAGGCTGGTCTTGAACTCCTGGCCTCAAGTGATCCTCCTGTCTCAGCGTCCCAAAGCACTGGGATTACAGGCGTGAAACACTGTGGTTGGCCCAATAACAGTTTTTTGAAGCAAACTACCCCCACAATCACCACCACCACCACCAACATTGTAATTCCCGATAGTGACCCAATAACTATCCTGAGGCTCCTTTGCACCAAACCCATCTTAGTAACCCCCATATCTAGCCAAATCTTTGCTTTCAGTGCCATAAGGAATATGCTCTCATCTTCAGTTATCAAACTCTGAAATTACTGTCTCTGAACAAAAGCTCCTATTTTATCTTTTTTAGTTCTTCATTTCCACAGAAATGTCTTTTACTCTCATTTTTGTCTCGTTGTCTTCACCATTCCCAAGTTTTTCAGTAGTTTCATTATATTCTACCTTCTTCTATTTACCTCCAGGAGAAACACAGTGGAAATAAGAATTTGCAGAGACAAGGAGAGAACAAGTATGATACTTTGTCTTTGGAAACATCTGGTTTAATCTTCAAATTATGTTACTAAGAGTTGTTTATATTTTCTTCTGATAACTCTTGTTCATTGTTTTACACTGCTGCACAATATCTATTAATAGATGTGAACCTACTATAAATTACTTATCTATTGTCCAGTTCGTATTTAAGAATATTTTAAGTTATAAACTCTGCTAGTACATATACTGTTGTTAAGTCTTCTGATATTCTTGAGTTAAAATTTTATGTATATACATATGTATCCCAGCCTTGGTTTATGTTAATGCTCAACACCGCCAAAGCTGCTGTACCAATCAGCACTTTGGAATCTGATAATACATTCCTTCTTCAACCTGTGTTCTTGTCAGATTTTTAAAAAAGGTCTTTGTTTATCAAATATGTGCAGATGCTATTGTGGTCTTGATTTTCCTTTTGCTTGTGACTAATGCTAATAATATTTTCCAATGGGTGTTAGCTACATGTGTTTCATATTTTGTGAAAAATCTATTCAAGTATTTTACCCAGTTTCTTATTGACTTATTTTTCTCAATTACTAGAAGTCTATGTACTATTGATATTATCTAATCTGTTATTTTACTTGCTGCAAATTTCTCCTCCACATGTTACCTACGTACAACTCATGCACTGCGTAACAGTATTTTAGTCAACAACTAACTGCGTATCCGCCAATTGTCCCATAAAATTATAATGAGTATACCATGTAGCTTTGGTGTGTAGTAGGCTATTTTATTTAGGTTTGTTCTCACGGTGTAGATGGTTGTGAAGTACACAGTATGATGTTTGCACAATTGCAAAAGTGTTTAACGATGTATTTCTCAAAATGTATCTCCACCATTAAGTGATGCATAACTGTATCTTTCACTTTTTTTAAAGTGTGTTTTGATGAACAGAGGTTTGCCAATTTTAATGGTAGCAAATTTGCCATCTATTATTACACTTTAAGCACTTTTGATACCCCATTTAAAAATGTTTCCTTTAATAACAAATGAAATTTATTCATATGTTTTTCTAAAAATTTAGTTTATGATTTCAGTTTTAATTCAGATTCAATATGTGCTTTCATTTTCCCCATCTACATAATCATTTTCCTTAACCGAATTTGTTGTACAGTACCCCTTGTGATCTGTGAAGCTACATCTGGAACATACCAATATTTCATTTGTACATGGATTTGTATCTGGGCTTTATTTTTAATTCCCTTTGGAAATTTATTGTTCACTATACAAATACTGCATCAATTAATTAATAAAGCATTATAATAAGATTTTATTTTATTCTGGCAGAGGAAATCCCCCTTTTTTATTCTTTGTCTTTGGAAGTAAGTTGGCACATCACCTAAATTTCAGATTAAACCAATTTACACAAACATGTTTATCATAACTTTTAGAGTTTTATTTGGAATGAAATCATATCTCTGTATCAACTTGAGGAGAATTTGTATTTGTTTGATATTATCTTCTTATCCACAAGCACTTGTCTTTTTCTTTTTGATAATTTCTTATGTAAAGTTCCCACATATATTTATTTTATTTATCCCTAGATAATTTATAATTTATAGGTGTTGTAGCATTTGCAAATAGTGTCTTTTAAAAAATACGGATTTTATATTCTCTTGCTTAGATAAAAGAATGCAATTTATATGTTTATGTGTGTCTAAAATAAAACAATATTTTATGTATATAAATATATTCAGCCACCTTGCTAATCTCTTTTATTTCTACATATTTGTTTTTAGATTATTTTGGATTTCCTATGTAAAGAGTCACATGATATGCACACAATGAATGTCTTGTTTCTTCTTTCACTCTTTTTTTCTGAAGCTTCTTTTTTGCTTATTGAGCTGTCTGTGAACTCTAATACAATGTTGATTATAATAGGTAATGGTAAACATCTTTCTCTTTTCCTAACTTTAAAGGGAATGTTTCCAACCTATGTGTCATTACTCATTTTGCCTCAGTCCTTTGAGATTGTTTCTTACAGCATTATCCTCACCTAATTATTTCCCCTTTCTTCTCAGCACTTGTCTAGATCTCCAGTCTCTATTGTGCACCTGTCCTGTACATACATCTCTCTTCTTGTCTACTGATGCTGTTCTCTGGATTATTTTCATCTCTAGTAGTGATTTCATATTTTAAGACTCACATATATTAACAATTTTGTGACCCTGTTCACAGTCAGATTTATTTATTCACTTTTATTGGTTCTCATACTGACCTGTAGATAGCCTTTGAATATTCTTTATTTTTTTTTAATTTAACACGTTTATTGAACCTACCTATGTTTTAGAAACCGTGGTGACCCTCAAATTACAAAGATACATATAAATTATAATCTGTCCCCAGGAAAAAACTGTGATGGAGCCACAGAAAATAACGAGTACATACCCTCAAATATTTGGGTTTTTCTACATGCCTATACAAAGTCAAGGCATTCATTGTATTTTGTTTATTCTAATACAAACATCTTCCATCTAGTTTTCCTGTTTCCAACATTATGCTTCTCAGTCCACTATTTACTCTCAGTATAGTTGTTTACAAAATGAACCCTGATAATTTTATTTTGCTGAAAACTGCAAAAATCTTTGAATTTCAAATACTATCTATGATATAAATACTAGTTTTGACATACCATTTAGAGACATTTCCAACCTTCCACAAATTGATTCCAAACTGTATTTTTAGTATTATTTCCCTCAACTGCACTCATATGTATGTTTTGTATGTTTAGTTTTAGACATACCAAATAACTGAATAATATTTTTTCATGAATTTTCTAATATCCTATATTTGCTCTCCCTGTAAGAGTCTTATCCCTTTATCTTCCTGAAAATGAGCACTGCTTATTTTTCACAGTCTAGCTCACAGACATTCATAAACGATATCTATTTGAAGCCTTCCAGCATTTAATATAGGGTCCTTCATATAGTATACACTCACTGATTGTGGCCACGTAAACTTTCCTTTTGGATATGATTGTGTGTGCATTTTCTAGGCTGACAAAAATTAAAAATATTAGTTTTAAAGTAGGGAAAGCATGAAAATATTGCTGTACTTATAGTACCAACAGACACAGAACTGATACACATCAGTCACTTTTGATAGTATTGAGTGGATAATGATATAGTTTAAGGATTCGCTTTTGCTGCCATGCTCGTGACTTTTTAAATTTATTATTCAGTCTTTACAGAAGTAAACTCTGTTTGTCACCTTTGATATTATTATCTTTGTCAAAACTAGCTGAGAGTATATACATTATGATTTATGATAGATTCCTTTCTAAATAATATAAATTGGAAGAATATTAATTACATGAATGTTTTCCAAACACCTCTTCTGAGCCAGATACTATACCATTGGGTAGAAATTTAATGGTTAGCATTCACAGTTGATTTTTCTTTTTTCTTTTTTTTCTTTTCTTCTTTTCTTTTTCTTTCTTTCTTTTTTTTTGAGACAAACTCTCACTCTGTTCCCCAAGCTGGAGTGCAATGGTGTGATCTTGGCTCACTACAGCATCCACCTTCTGGATTCAAGTGATTCTCCCTCCTCAGACTCCTGAGTAGCTGGGACTACAGCCGCATGCCACCACACCCAGCTAATTTTTGTATCTTTTAGTAGAGATGGCGGGGGGTTTCACTATGTCGGCCAGTTTGGCCTTGAACTCCTGACCTCAGGTGATCCTCCCACCTCGGCCTCCCAGAGTGCTGGGATTACAGGTTGAGCCACCACGCCCAGTCACAGAGTTGATTTTTCTGATAGACTTTATGGTATAGTGACAGGCCAACATTGTACAAAAATCATACCGATTAATATAAATTGTTACATGTTAAACCAATTACTCAGCATAATGAATACGGAGCAGCACAGGTTATGCAATTATATTCATGAGTAAAGGGTGTCTCTGAGTAAATCAAATATTAAGTTTAACTTAAATTATGAAATTGAGATTAGACGAGAAGAGAGAGGAAGGAAGAAAGTTCTTTGTAAGTACCGCCCAGGGAATAGCATATATGAGAACACAGAGGCAAGAAAAATAGAAGTTTTGTGTAGCCAAAACATAGCAGGGAAAGAATGACATGAGATGAAGATTGGAATTTGACCATCAGCTGGATTGTTAGTGGTCTTGACACTCATGTAAAAGAATTTAGCATTTTTTCCTAAGTGCTATCAGAAGCGCAAAAATATTGTAAGTAGGGGAGTTACGTGATTAACTTTTACTTTTTAAAGAATAATTTGGGCAGTCTTGTTCTTAGAAAGAGTTCCAAAAAACTCATAAAAGCATTCATGACCTGCCACCTTAAATAAAATGTTTAAAACGAATGTATCTATAGGCACAAAGTCTTATTTTGCTGATTTTAAATGAAATTTAAATGTTAAAATGAAAATTTTCTCATGCCTACCTTTAGAGAAAAATTCTCAGTTTAATGAGCAGCATAAAGACAATGTTTTATTCTTTGTCACATAATTTTTTTTGTGTGTCTGCAAAACAAGTTCAAGGCTTAGACTCTCAACAAATACTTGTTGAAGAAAACAATGAACAGTGGCATCTCAAGAGAATAATAAGACTCTAATTAATAGTGAAATCTCAATAGGCAAAGAATAAGCAGAGGGTGACAGATAAGGCTATACTGGTGATTTGGTGACAAGAAAGTGTTAGGAGAGTGAAGTTGAAAATTCAGGAAATTACACTTAATCATATTAAGAAAATATCATGTAAAATTGTATTAATATTACTTAGCAAGTAGCATGATTACATAGAAAGATGGAAGAAAGCATGGGTTACCAATGTAAGTGAATCTTTTATTCAGTTTTGTGTTTTCTATGTTAGAGTGAAAGGAAATCAAGAATTCCTGTAGGGATACTGCCTATCTTCTTGTCTTTCTAAACATACGGTTTCTCCATGGTCATTTTATGCAACTTTATTGCAAGCTAGATTTTGATTACTCCAACATTTACGTATCAAGCCTAGAATATTTCTCTCATTGTTGGATAACTAAATGAAACTGCTCATTGGGCATTTATAGATTCCCCCCCACCCAATCTCCTCTTCCTATGTTCCATAACCTGGTTAAAGTCACCACTAGACACTCTACTAGATGCTGAAGAGCACAGATTAAACATACTACAGCAAATGGATAACCACCCATAGTGTAAAGTGCTCCTACAAGGCATGCACAGGAATGTATGACCTTGCAGGGAAGGCATCCAACCCAGACGGGGGCCTGGAAGCACGAATGGGAAAAGCCTCCTCAGGAGGTAACACATAAGCTGACTGTACACCAACATAAATATAAATATTTATACACCAACAAAGATAACCAGGCAGTGTTGGAGTTGGGGTAAGCATTGCCACTAGGGGGATAAGTCTAAAGACAAAAAAGAAGAACAAGACCATTCCTCATTCAGAAAACTGTTAAAGCTTAAATATCTTCCAAAGGTTACATTTGAAGTTGTAAATATATATGAGGCAAGGAAGGAAAAGGCCTTAAGGAATGTCATTCTGTAGTATTCAAATTTACGCAATAGGGAATGAACAGGCATTGAAATACTAAATGGGAGTGATTTGATTATATTCATATTTTACAGAAAAAAAAATCACTTCAGCATCAGGGTAAGAAAGGGTTTAGAGGGATCTCAATTTTGAGGACTTTAGATTGAAGCCAGAAAAAAAATCTACAGAAAGAAAGAAAAGAAAATAGAAAGAGAGAGGGAAGGAGAGAGAAAGAGAGAAAAAAGAGGTGACTGCTGTTCAATCTCTGTAAGGAAGAACAAAACACAACAAAACTGAAAAATAAACCCCAAAACCCTAAATCAATGGAAACAGGAATGAAAAAATTTGAGCAACTTTAAGAGAAATTAGTTAGAGTATATAAGACATAATTGCTTGCAGAGCAAAGATAAGAGAGGAATCAATGATAACTCTCAGGTTTACTGGCTTGGACAGCAGTGTGGAGGCTTACATCTTACAATGGTATAATAAAATATGTGGCCACAACAAATTTGTGATAATTATCTTTTACACCTTATTATCCCTAACCCCTACACTCAGTTATCGTTAAATTGTATTAATTTTCCCCTAAGTGTTTTTGAAACTATTATCTTTCTATCATGTCTCCCATTGCCTTTGTTCAGACATAGTACATTAACTTATCTTTTTATCTCTGGTCTCATTTTCACTTAAACCCTCCAACAGGATGGCCCTTTTTAAAATTATGTGTTTAAAAATGATGTGTTGGAATAATGTTCTTGCATGCATGTCTCTGTGTCTGTGCTATGAGGTTCTTATAGGAATAATCTATATCTCAGTTATCTTTGTATTTCTACCTCTTACCACACTGTCCAGTAAATATTTCTTACACTCAATGTCTTGAATGAGTGAGTGAATAAATGAATCCATGAATAATTAGAAGAAATATACTCTCTCCAATTGGTTGAAGTTTTAGGGAGAGACTCCAATGAGAAAAAAATGGACATTTCCACAATACCTTGATGTCACCACAGTCCAAGATCAAATCACAAGTTTTGAAAGTTTAGAAATTATATTTCGTCTGTTTTGAGAGGTTTTGGCTTCAGTGGAATTGTCTTTTTGGGAGCTTTATCTTTAATCCAAGGTGACATATTCATGCAAATGAAAATTACTATACTATTTAGCAATGTTCAAGGGCATCAGTTCGTAGCAACACTGTCTAATAGAACTCTCTTTGATGATGGAAATGCTCTAGACCCACATTGTGCAATAAATTCTCCATTAACCACATGTGGCTCTAAAGCATTGATATATGGCTGGTTTGACTGAAGAACAGAAAACTTTATTTCATTTAATTTTAACTGTTTTAAATTTAAGTATAAATAGTGACATGTAGGCTAGTGGCTACTTTATTACATTGTGTAAGTCTAGAATAAGAGGATTTTTTTCTCCAAACTTTTTCATTTATTGAATCTTGAGTAACTACAGTAAATCATTATATTACTTTCATTTTAGGATTTGCATTTGCATCTGGTTTGCCTGAATTTGATCATCAAACTGCCTTCCTTCATTAGACCTAATAAGCCTGTCATGAATCTCTCTCACTGCTTCGTCCAATCTGTGTCAGAGAACCTCTGGTATTAAAAATTGCCTTGTGAGGCTCTCTATCTGCCTCTCAATTCCAGCATCCTACCTCCAGTAACCATGTCATTTGTAGATATGAATTCAGATTGTACCAATTTACAGTATCTAAGTAAATCACAATATTTTTTTAACTTGAATGAAATATTATAAATGTCAGTGAAATATACTTTAAATGTATATTGATTTGACAGATATTCTCTACCATTTGAGAAAACCTACATAGAAGCCAATTATTATTTTCAGAAGTGACACAAAACTTGCTGGTAATATAAGACTCAGATTATAGTTGGTAAGTTTTATAGCATTTAGCAGCTTGAAGCATCAAGGTCTCTTTTTCCTGAACTGCATCAGGGATCTCTACACTGTACGCCTGCCTGAAAAGAGAATAAAATCTCCTACCAGTGGACCAGGACATCATGTCCTGGGAAAGCACTGGAGGCACATGGACTATACCTTGCATTGTGCCATGAATTTTCTTTTTCTGTGCTTCAGGTTGACTACACTCCTCCTCATACTTTCTTTCTCTTTTAAGGAGAAACAATTATCAATTTTTTTTACTAGTTTCTCTGTCACAAGTCATCTTTATTCACACATTCCAAGTTCTTAGCCTTTTCAAAAGCTTTTGTTATGCTTCCATGTAGACAATTTCTCAATCATTTTGACTTAATTGACTGATCTGTGAGTGGTGATTATTTTTAATTCACTTGACCTGCTGAGTAAACTCAAAAAATTAACAAGTAATTTAAAAGAAGTATAGGCAGTAAATCAACCATTATCTGTGGGGAACCTCCCTTGATGTTGTTTGTATTTGCTACTCTCATTTGTACATGCCATAATCAGGGGGAGAAGCCAAGATGGCCGAATAGGAACAGCTCCCATCTACAGCTCCCAGCATGAGCGACGCAGAAGATGGGTGATTTCTGCATTTCCATCTGAGGTACCGGGCTCATCTCACTAGGGAGTGCCAGACAGTGGGCGCAGGCCAGTGGGTGCGTGCACCGTGCGAGGGCCAAAGCAAGGCGAGGCATTGCCTCACTCGGGAAGCGCAAGGGGTCAGGGAGTTCCCTTTCCTAGTCAAAGAAAGAGGTGACGGACAGCACCTGGAAAATCGGGTCACTCCCACCCGAATACTGCGCTTTTCCGACGGGCTTAAAAAACAGTGCACCATGAGATTATATCCCGCACCTCGCTTGGAGGGTCCTACGCCCACGGAGTCTCGCTGATTGCTAGCACAGCTGTCTGAGATCAAACTGCAAGGTGGCAGCGAGGCTGGGGGAGGGGCGCCCGCCATTGCCCAGGCTTGATTAGGTAAACAAAGCAGCCAGGAAGCTCCAACTGGGTGGAGCCCACCACAGCTCAAGGAGGCCTGCCTGCCTCTGTAGGCTCCACCTCTGGGGGCAGGGCCCAGACAAAAAGACAGCAGTAACCTCTGCAGACTTAAATGTCCCTGTCTGACAGCTTTGAAGAGAGCCGTAGTTCTCCCAGCACGCAGCTGGAGATCTGAGAACGGGCAGACTGCCTCCTCAAGTGGGTCCCTGACCCCTGACCCCTGAGCAGCCTAACTGGGAGGCACCCCCCAGCAGGGGCACACTGACACCTCACACGGCAGGGTACTCCAACAGACCTGCAGCTGAGGGTCCTCTCTGTTAGAAGGAAAACTAACAAACAGAAAGGACATCCACACCAAAAACCCATCTGTACATCACCATCATCAAAGACCAAAAGTAGATAAAACCACAAAAATGGGGAAAAAACAGAACAGAAAAACTGGAAACTCTAAAAAGCAGAGCACCTCTCCTCCTCCAAAGGAATGCAGCTCCTCACCAGCAACGGAACAAAGCTGGATGGAGAATGACTTTGAGGAGATGAGAGAAGAAGACTTCAGACGATCAAATTACTCTGAGCTACGGGAGGACATTCAAACCAAAGGGAAAGAAGTTGAAAACTTTGAAAAAAATTTAGAAGAATGTATAACTAGAATAACCAATACAGAGAAGTGCTTAAAGGAGTTGATGGAGCTGAAAACCAAGGCTCGAGAACTATGTGAAGAATGCAGAAGTCTCAGGAGCCGATGCAATCAACTGGAAGAAAGGGTATCAGCAATGGAAGACGAAATGAATGAAATGAAGTGAGAAGGGAAGGTTAGAGAAAAAAGAATAAAAAGAAATGAGCAAAGCCTCCAAGAAATATGGGACTATGTGAAAAGACCAAATCTACGTCTGATTGGTGTACCTGAAAGTGATGGGGAGAATGGAACTAAGTGGGAAAACACTCTGCAGGATATTATCCAGGAGAACTTCCCCAATCTATCAAGGCAGGGCAACGTTCAGATTCAGGAAATACAGAGAACGCCACAAAGATACTCCTCGAGAAGAGCAATTCCAAGACACATAATTGTCAGATTCACCAAAGTTGAAATGAAGGAAAAAATGTTAAGGGCAGCCAGAGAGAAAGGTCGGGTTACCCTCAAAGGGAAGCCCATCAGACTAACAGCAGATCTCTCGGCAGAAACCCTACAAGCCAGAAGAGAGTGGGGGCCAATATTCAACATTCTTAAAGAAAAGAATTTTCATCCCAGAATTTCATATCCAGCCAAACTAAGTTTCATAAGTGAAGGAGAAATAAAATCCTTTACAGACAAGCAAATGCTGAGAGATTTTGTCACCACCAGGCCTGCCCTAAAAGAGCTCCTGAAGGAAGTGCTAAACATGGAAAGGAACAACCGGTACCAGCCGCTGCAAAATCATGCCAAAATGTAAAGACCATCGAGACTAGGAAGAAACTGCATCAACTAACGAGCAAAATAACCAGCTAACATCATAATGACAGGATCAAATTCACACATAACAATATTAACTTTAAATGTAAATGGACTAAATGCTCCAATTAAAAGACACAGACTGGCAAATTGGATAAAGAGTCAAGACCCATCAGTGTGCTGTATTCAGGAAACCCACCTCACGTGCAGAGACACACATAGGCTCAAAATAAAAGGATGAAGGAAGATCTACCAAGCAAATGGAAAACAAAAAAAGGCAGGGGTTGCAATCCTAGTCTCTAATAAAACAGACTTTAAACCAACAAAGATCAAAAGAGACAAAGAAGGCCATTACATAATGGTAAAGGGATCAATTCAACAAGAAGAGCTAACTATCCTAAATATATATGCACCCAATAGAGGATCAACCAGATTCATAAAGCAAGTCCTGAGTGACCTACAAAGAGACTTAGACTCCCACACATTAATAATGGGAGACTTTAACACCCCACTGTCAACATTAGACAGATCAACGAGACAGAAAGTCAACAAGGATACCCAGGAATTGAACTCAGCTCTGCACCAAGCAGACCTAATAGACATCTACAGAACTCTCCACCCCAAATCAACAGAATATACATTTTTTTCAGCACCACACCACACCTATTCCAAAATTGATCACATATTTGGAAGTAAAGCTCTCCTCAGCAAATATAAACGAACATAACTTATAACAAACTATCTCTCAGACCACAGTGCAATCAAACTAGAACTCAGGATTAAGAATCTCACTCAAAACCGCTCAACTACGTGGAAACTGAACAACCTGCTCCTGAATGACTACTGGGTACATAACGAAATGAAGGCAGAAATAAAGATGTTCTTTGAAACCAACGAGAACAAAGACACAACATACCAGAATCTCTGGGATGCATTCAAAGCAGCGTGTAGAGGGAAATTTATAGCACTAAATGCCCACAAGAGAAAGCAGGAAAGATCCAAAATTGACACCCTAACATCACAATTAAAAGAACTAGAAAAGCAAGAACAAACACATTCAAAAGCTAGCAGAAGGCAAGAAATAACTAAAATCAGAACAGAACTGAAGGAAATAGAGACACAAAAAACCCTTCAAAAAATTAATGAATCCAGGACCTGGTTTTTGGAAAGGATCAACAAAATAGATAGACTGCTAGCAAGACTAATAGAGAAAAAAAGAGAGAAGAATCAAATAGATACAATAAAAAATGATAAAGGGGATATCACCACCAATCCCACAGAAATACAAACTACCATCAGAGAATACTACAAACACCTCTATGCAAATAAACTAGAAAATCTAGAAGAAATGGATAAATTCCTCGACACATACACTCTCCCAAGACTAAACCAGGAAGAAGTTGAATCTCTGAGTAGACCAATAACAGGATCTGAAATTGTGGCAATAATCAATAGCTTACCAACCAAAAAGAGTCCAGGACCAGATGGATTCACAGCCGAATTCTACCAGAGGTACAAGGAGGAACTGGTACCATTCCTTCTGAAACTATTCCAATCAATAGGAAAAGAGAGAATCCTCCCTAACTCATTTTATGAGGCCAGCATCATTCTGATACCAAAGCCAGGCAGAGACACAACAAAAAAAGAGAATTTTAGACCAATATCCTTGAAGAACATTGATGCAAAAATCCTCAATAAAATACTGGCAAAACGAATCCAGCAGCACATCAAAAAGCTTATCCACCATGATCAAGTGGGCTTCATCCCTGGGATGCAAGGCTGGTTCAATATACGCAAATCAATAAATGTAATCCAGCATATAAACAGAGCCAAAGACAAAAACCACATGATTATCTCAATAGATGCAGAAAAAGCCTTTGACAAAATTCAACAACCCTTCATGCTAAAAACTCTCAATAAATTAGGTACTGTTGGGACGTATTTCAAAATCATAAGAGCTATCTATGACAAACCCACAGGCAATATCATACTGAATGGGCAAAAACTGGAGGCATTCCCTTTGAAAACTGGCACAAGACAGGGATGTCCTCTATCACCACTCCTATTCAACATAGTGTTGGAAGTTCTGGCCAGGGCAATTAGGCAGAAGAAGGAAATAAAGGGTATTCAATTAGGAAAAGAGGAAGTCAAATTGTCCCTGTTTGCAGATGACATGATTGTATATCTAGAAAACCCCATTGTCTCAGCCCAAAATCTCCTTAAGCTGAGCAGCAACTTCAGCAAAGTCTCAGGATACAAAATCAATGTACAAAAATCACAAGCATTCTTATACACCAACAACAGACAAACAGAGAGACAAATTATGAGTGAACTCCCATTCACAATTGCTTCAAAGAGAATAAAATACCTAGGAATCCAACTTACAAGGGATGTGAAGGACCTCTTCAAGGAGAACTACAATCCACTGCTCAAGGAAATAAAAGAGGATACAAATAAATGGAAGAACATTCCATGCTCATGGGTAGGAAGAATCAATATCGTGAAAATGGCCATACTGCCCAAGGTAATTTATAGATTCAATGCCATCCCCATCAAGCTACCAATGACTTTCTTCACAGAATTGGAAAAAACTACTTTAAAGTTCATATGGAACCAAAAAAGAGCCCACATCGCCAAGCCAATCCTAAGCCAAAAGAACAAAGCTGGAGGCATCACACTACCTGACTTCAAACTATACTACAAGGCTACCGTAACCAAAACAGCATGGTACTGGTACCAAAACAGAGATATAGATCAATGGAACAGAACAGAGCCCTCAGAAATAACGCCACATATCTACAACTATCTGATCTTTGACAAACCTGACAAAAACAAGCAATAGAGAAAGGATTCCCTATTTAATAAATGGTGCTGGGAAAACTGGCTAGCCATATGTAGAAAGCTGAAACTGGATCCCTTCCTTACACCTTATACAAAAATCAATTCAAGATGGATTAAAGACTTAAACGTTAGACCTAAAACTATAAAAACCCTAGAAGAAAACCTAGGCATTACCATTCAGGACATAGGCATGGGCAAGGACTTCATGTCTAAAACACCAAAAGCAATGGCAACAAAAGACAAAAATTGACAAATGGGATCTAATTAAACTAAAGAGCTTCTGCACAGCAAAAGAAACTACCATCAGAGTGAACGGGCAACCTACAAAATGGGAGAAAATTTTCGCAACCTACTCATCTGACAAAGGGCTAATATCCAGAATCTACAATGAACTCCAACAAATTTACAAGAAAAAAACAAACAACCCCATCAAAAAGTGGGTGAAGGACATGAACAGACACTTCTCAAAAGAAGACATTTATGCAGCCAAAAAATACATGAAAAAATGTTCATCATCACTGGCCATCAGAGAAATGCAAATCAAAACCACAATGAGATACCATCTCACACCAGTTAGAATGGCAATCATTAAAAAGTCAGGAAACAACAGGTGCTGGAGAGGATGTGGAGAAATAGGAACACTTTTACACTGTTGGTGGGACTGTAAACTAGTTCAACCATTGTGGAAGTCAGTGTGGTGATTCCTCAGGGATCTAGAACTAGAAATACCATTTGACCCAGCCATCCCATTACTGGGTATATACCCAAAGGACTATAAATCATGCTGCTATAAAGACACACGCACACGTATGTTTATTGCGGCATTATTCACAATAGCAAAGACTTGGAACCAACCCAAATGTCCAACAAGGATAGACTGGATTAAGAAAATGTGGCACATATACACCATGGAATATTATGCGGCCATAAAAAATGATGAGTTCATGTACTTTGTAGGGACATGGATGAAATTGGAAATCATCATTCTCAGTAAACTATCGCAAGAACAAAAAACCAAACACCGCATATTCTCACTCATAGGTGGGAATTGAACAATGAGATCACATGGACACAGGAAGGGGAATATCACACTCTGGGGACTGTTGTGGGGTGGGGGGAGGGGGAGGGATAGCATTGGGAGATATACCTAATGCTAGATGAGGAGTTAGTGGGTGCAGCACACCAGCATGGCACACGTATACACATGTAACTAACCTGCACAATGTGCACATGTACCCTAAAACTTAAAGTATAATAATATTAAAAAAAAATTTTAATTAATACTTTGAGTTCTTCCAAGGTTTGTCACAATTCTCAATGAACCACACATCTGTGTTTAGGTTTAATTAATACTCATCCGGACAGTCAGTAATTGGTGAGGAATGTTATTATGCATCTCAAAAGTAA
Organism: Homo sapiens; assembly: GCF_000001405.40. Classification (NCBI taxonomy): domain Eukaryota; kingdom Metazoa; phylum Chordata; class Mammalia; order Primates; family Hominidae; genus Homo; species Homo sapiens. The sequence goes on from NC_000006.12 coordinate 102,094,365, forward strand.
GTGAATCTATAGGAAATTATAAATAAGAAAAAAATGAGGTTTTATACTTAATAAAAGTATTAATAATAAAGTTCTAGTTCTAGAAATCTATTAAAATAAATTGCCAAAATTTAATATTTTTGATAAATGGAGATATGAAAGTTAAATGAATATAAATACATGAATGTCAGTGGATTAAAACTGGACTTGAGCAGTGATTAATTAATCTGTAAACATGTATGGATAAATCACAAACCACATATAAATGAACATATGTAGACCCCACAGCTTGCATGATAACCACATAAATCATTTTTAATTCTATATTTTTAAAGAATACAATAACTAAAAATTATCCCCTGTGAAGCCAAAAAATGTATTTGGTATGAATAAGAAAAATTTTCTGATATTTAGTTAAAGAACAAATTGAAAGTAGACTTTAGTTTGAGCTCCAATATATTAGCAATGAAATATTGCTGTGGTTGAGGATAAATTTAATATTTGGTCTCAGTAAGAAATATTGTTTAATGAAATTGAAATGCCTTATATTTTAAACTAGTAATCCAAATTATTCCAATACAAGTTGTTTAAGAACTGCACTTTGACACACAGTTTAGTCTGTGTGTAAAATTGTATCTTTGCTATCCTTTGAGAAGCAACGTAATGCAGCGTGAGGGTTTCAGATTCTAATAATCATGAATTTGAATCCAAGCAATTAATGGTATGAATTTGAGTAAATTACTTGGTCTCTGCGTTTCCACCTGTAGTTTCTAATGTTATGTGGATTTTAAGTAATTATATCTTACGTATCCAGTACCATGCCCTCAGATCATTTTGTGGGGAGAAAAGGAGTGGTTACGTCTTTATCTCCCAGCCTTCTTTTCTTGATTTTTGGAGAAAAATTCAAGGTATAACATCTCAAAAAATACTATGAATAAAATCAAACCAACAAAAATATTTTAACCCTAAATTTCAAAGTAACTTTAAACCTGACAATTATCTAAATCCATGATATAATCAGGGTGGGAGGATGAAGAGCTACATTTAGATCAGAAAATTTTCATATAAATTATTTTCTATAGCAGCTAATATAAAATGTTCATTGGGGAACTTTGCACACAGTGGTACTCTCAGGTGTTTATCAATAAAAAATTTGAGAGCCATTATTCTGAAATGAACTCTATGTAAATATTTGTTGATATTCATTTATTTGTGTTTCCCAGTAGTCTATTAAGAGCTGCAGTGGTTTGGCTGCTTCATAGAATAATGCAATAATAATTGTCTTACGTGCATTGCAAAATATGATATAGGATTATTATATTCTCATAAACTTCTTAATGTATTTAACAACCAAAGTTTTAGAAGATTGCATATTTGCTATAGGGCTGCATTACATTCTGTCTTGACATGTGATTTCAGGTACTTTCAAACTGTTTTAAATGTGTAACATTTATGGTGACTGTTGTGTGTTGTGTTTTAATTTCCCTTTTCAAAAATGTGTAAGTGACCAAGGAGCAATTTAACAAACTATAAACATGGTGGTAAATACAATTATAAAATATCACAACGTAGAACAATATCAGAATTGTAAAAAGATTAACAGGTTAAATATAAAATGACTCTGTATACACTGATGAAAGTGAATCTCCAGGTGTGATGATTGTGCTCAGGGAGCCAGAGAGTAAAGTGCAATATAAAACTATATTGATAAATATTTGAGGATTACACTTTATAGAACTGGTAATTTTTTAGTTCCTGTTTCTGTTGCATTGACCATTACAAAATAATTTTTACGAAATAGAATGATGCTATCAAAGATTTTATCTTAACTTTCAGATATGACGAAGCAAGATAGCAAGTAAATCAAACTATGTATTTCTCCATAACAGAAAGTAAAATAATCTTTTTAAAAAATATGGTATATGTTATTTTTCCTTTAAAGGCAGAGGGCAGAAAATAATTAAAGAGGTATTATCTATGCTTGAATTGCTTATGAAAAAATTAAAATGACATGAACACACTCAAATTGCATTATTACTAAGACTAATAAAATCAGCAATTCTACCAATGACAGTTATTAGAAAATAAAGCAGAATGGGCTATTCATAAAATTATTATATTTAACATTGTATCAGCAACATATGTAAACACATTTACTATTTTGTATACATGACACAGAATATTTTGCTTTATATTTGGTTTAAATTCCTCATGTACATATTAGGAATTAACTATAAACATATTTGTTGTTTATAAACAATAAAAATGCTTTATGACTTTTTATTTTATTTAATTTAAAAAAATTCACAGGACAGAAAAATCAATATTCTTATCAGATTATAATGATTTTGCAAGTCATATTTTACATATGAAAACTTGCCAAGAGATCGGTTATGATGGGACATTAATAAGAAAGTGTATTACTATAGAAAAAAAGTTTCTGCTGAATATCAGCACAGAGAAATTAGTTTATGGTTAAAGAAACATTCTTCCTTTTCTGATTCTGGAAGATAACCTCTTGCATTTCTTTTGAGAGGAGATAGCTTCCTCAGTAATTTGGTAGATTCTTGTAATACAATTGTAATAGAAACTGCACATGGCTATTGTAGATCAGGAATTTTCAAGGGATGGGTACAATTATGCCAATAGAGTCAATTATTTCTGTTTTTCCATTTAAAAGAGATTATCGAAGTATTTAAAAGCAAACTCCAAAGATATACTTTTTATATGTGACTTACTATAAATATAAAGGCAGTTTGAAAGTAAAAGACGAAAATAAATTATATAGACCAGGCACAGTGGCTTACGCCTGTAATCCCAGCACCTTGGGAGGGAGACGTGGGCTGATCATTTGAGGCCAGGAGTTCAAGACCATTCAGGAAAGCATGGATAAACTCCATCTCTACTAAAAATACAAAAAATTGGCCAGGCGTGGTGGCGCATACCTGTATTCCCAGATACCCAAGAGGCTGAGGCATGGGAATCACTTGAGCCTGGGAGGCAGAGGTTGCAGTAAACCAAGATGGCATCAATGCACTCCAGTCTGGGCAACAGAGCAAGACTCTTGCTTTTTTAAATTTTTAATTATATTTTAAGTTCTGGGATACATGTGCAAAAAGTGCAGGTTTGTCACACAGGTATACATGTGCCATGGTGGTTTGCAGCACCATCAACCTGTCATCTACAGTAGGTATTTCTCCTAATGCTATCCCTCCCCTAGCCACCCACCCCCGAAGGGCCCTTGTGTGTGATGTTTCCCTCCCTGTGCCCATATGTTCTCGTTGTTCAACTCCCACTTATGAGTGAGAACATGTGGTGTTTGGTTTTCTGTTCCTGTGTTAGTTTGCTGAGAATGATGGTTTCCAGCTTCATCTGTGTTTCTGCAAAGGACATGAACTCATTCTTTTTTATGGCTAGATAGTATTCCACATTTTCTTTACCCAGTCTATCATTGATGGGCATTTGGGTTGGTTCCAAGTCTTTGCTGTTGTAAATAGTGTTGCAATAGACATACGTGTGCATGTGTCTTTATAGTAGAATGATTTATAATCCTTTGAAATATAACCAGTACTGGGATTGCTGGGTCAGATGGTATTTCTACTTCCAGATCCTTGAGGAATCAGCACACTCTCTTCCACAATGGTTGAACTAATTTACACTCCCATTAACAGTGTAAAAGCATTCCTATTTCTCCACATCCTCTTCAGCATCTATTGTTTCCTGACTTTTTAATGATCGCCATTCCAGTTGGTGTGAGATGGTATCTCATTGTGGCTTTGATTTGCATTTCTCTAATGACCAGTGATGATGAGCTTTTTTTCATATGTTTCTTGGCCACATAAATGTCTTCTTTTGAAAAGTGTCTGTTCATATATTTTGCCCACTTTTTTATGGATTGTGTTTTCTTGTAAATGTTTAAGTTCCTTGTAGATTCTGGATATTTGCCCTTTGTCAGATGGGTAGATTGTAAAAATTTTCTCCCATTCTGTAGGTTGCCTGTTCACTCTGATGATAGTTTCTTTTGCTGTCCAGAAGGTCTTTAGTTTAATTAGATCCCATTTGTCAATTTTGGTTTTTGTTGCCATTGCTTTTGCTGTTTTAGTCATGAAGTCTGTGCCCATGCCTATGTCCTGAATGGTATTGCCTAGGTTTTCTTATAGGGTTTGTATAGTTTTAGGTCTTATGTTTAAATCTTTATTCCATCTTGAGTTAATTTTCATATAAGGTGTAAGGAATGGGTCCAGTTTCAGTTTTCTGCATATGGCTTGTCAGTTTTCCCAACATCATTTATTAATTAGGGAATCTTTTCCCCATTGCTTGTGTGTGTCAGGTTTGTCAAAGTCAGATGGTAGTAGAAGTATGGTGTTATTTCTGAGGCCTGTGTTCTTTTCCATTGGTTTATATATCTGTTTTGGTACCATTACCATGCTGTTTTGGTTACTGTAGCCTAGTAGTATAGCTTGAAGTCACGTAGGGTGATGCCTCCAGCTTTGTTCTTTTTGCTTAGGATTGTCTTGGCTATATGGGCTCTTTTTTTGGTTTCATATGAAATTTAAAGTATTTTTTTTCTAATTCTGTGAAGAAATTCAATGGTAGTTTGATAGGAATAGCATTTAATCTATTAATTACTTTGGGCAGTACGGCCACTTTCACAACATTGATTCTTCATATCCATGGGCATGGAATGTTTTTCCATTTGTTTATGTCCTCTCTTATTTCCTTGAGCAGTGGCCTGTAGTTCTCCTTGAAGAGGTCCTTTACATCCCTTGCAAGTTGTATTCCTAGGTATTTTATTCTCTTTGCAGCAATTGTGAATGGGAGTTTGCTCATCATTTGACTGTTTGTCTATTATTGGTGTACAGGAATACATGTGATTTTTACACATTGATTTTGTATCCTAAGACTTTGCTGAAGTTGTTTATCAGCTTAAGGAGTTTTAGAGCTGAGATGATGGAGTTTTCTAAATGTGCAATCCTTTCATCTGCAAATAGAGATAATTGGACTTCCTCTCTTCCTATTTGAATATCCTTTATTTCTTTTTCTTGCCTGATTGCCCTAGCTAGAACTTCCAATACTATGTTGAATAAGAGTGGTGAGAGAGGTCATCCTTGTCTTGTGCCAGTTTTCAAAGGGAATGCTTCCAGCTTTTGACCATTCAGTATGATACTGGCTGTGGGTTTGTCATAGATAGCTCTTATTATTTTGAGATATGTTCCATTATCAATACCTAGTTTATTGAGTGTTTTTTGCGTGAAGGGCTGTTGAGTTTTACTGAAGGCCTTTTTTGCATCTATTGAGATAATCATGTGTTTTTTTCATTGGTTCTGTTTATGTGAGGGATTATATTTATTGATTTGCCTATGTTGAGCCAGCCTTGCATCCCAGGGATGAAAGAAACTTAATCAGAGTGGATAAGTTTTTAAAGGGCTGCTGGATTCAGTTGGCCAGTATTTTATTGAGGATTTTCTCATTGATGTTCATCAGCAATATTGGCCTGAAATTTTCTTTTTTTTGTTGTGTCTCTGCCAGGTTTTGGTATCAGGATGATGCTGGCCTCATACAATGAATTAGGGAGGAGTCAATCTTTTTCTAGTGTTTGGGATAGTTTCAGAAGGAAAGGTACCACCTTCTCTTTGTACCTCTGGTAGAATTTAACTATCAATCCATCTGGTCCTGGGCTTTTTGTGGTTGGTAGGCTATTAATTGCTGCGTCAATTTCAGAACATGTTATTGGTCTATTCAGGAATTCAACTTCTTCCTGGTTTAGTCTTGGGAGGGTGTATGTGACTAGGAATTTATCCATTTCTTCTAGATTTTCTAGTTTATTTGTGTAGAGGTGTTTGTAGCATTCTGTGATGGTAGTTTGTATTTCTGTGGGATCTGTGGTGATCTCTCCTTTATCATTTTTTATTGTGTCTATTTGATTCTTCTCTTTTCTTCTTTATTAGTCTCCTATCGGTCTATTTTGTTAATCTTTCCAAAAAACAGCTCCTGGATTCATTGATTTTTTGAAGGCTTTTTTATGTCTCTATCTCCTTCAGTTCTGCTCTGATCCTAGTTATTTCTTGTCTTCTTCTAGCTTTTGAATTTATTTGCTCTTGCTTTTCTAGTTCTTCAGGTAAGATGACCAAATAGGAACAGCTCCAGTCTGCAGCTCCCAGCGAGACCAACACAGAAGGTGGGCGATTTTTGCATTTCCAACTGAGGTACCCAGTTCATCTCAGTGGGACTGGTTAGACAGTGGGTGCGGCCCACGGAGGGCAACCAGAAGCAGGTGAGGCATTGCCTCAACTGGGAAGCACAAGTGGTCTGGGAACTCCCTCCCCTAGCCAAGGGAAGCTGTGAGGGACCATGCCATGAGGGACGGTGCTATCTGGCTCAGATACTAGCTTTTGCCATGGTCTTCACAACCCACAGACCAGGAGATTTCTTAGGGTGCCTACACCACAAGGGCCCCGGGTTTTAAGCACAAAACTGAGTGACTGTTTGGGCAGACACCGAGCTAGCTGCAGGAGTTTATTTTCATACCCTGGTGGTCCCTGGAACACCAGCGAGACAGAACTGTTCACTCTCCTGGAAAGAGGGCTGAAGCCAGGGAGCCAAGACTCTTTCTAAAGTAAATAAAGTGCATAGTTTGTGTGTGTGTACACACACAACACAAATATATATATACCCACATACATATATACACAGTGTATATATATATACAAGCTATGTATATGTATGAAAAGCTGATACATCTATGTTATTATCAGAGACAATAGAATTTAAAGCAGAAAACAATACTAGAGAAAAAGAGGAACATTTCATAATAATAAAATGATTAATTCATTAAGAAGATATAATATTATTAAATGCATATGTAATCAGTAACAGCAAAAAATTCTTAGAACTAAGGCAAGAAATAGATAAATCCAAATTCACAATCACAGATAAACATAATTACAGTGAAAACAATCATGGTTTAAACCTATATTCTAAAGATCTTTCCTGGTAATTCATATAACAAATAAGTCAGCAAGGATGTAGAAAATTTGAAAATCATTAATCCATTTGACCTAATTGAGTGTTAGGGAACACTATATGCAACAGTTGTAGAGCTCTCATTATTTTGTGCATATGAAACATTTACTAAACAAGAACATTTTCTTGGTGTATTAGGTTATTCTCACATTGCTATAAAGAAATATCAGAGACTGGGAAATTTACAAAGAAGAGAGACTTAATTGGCTCACGGTTCTGCAAGCTGTACAAGAAGCATGGTCGTATCTACTTCTTGGGAGGCCTCAGGGAGCTTTTTGCTCATGGTGGTAGGCAAAATGGGAGCAGGCACATCTAATGGCTAGAGCAGGAGAAAGAGAGAGGGGGAAGATGCCACACACTTTTCAATACTCAAACATTGCAGCAACTCACTATCGAGAGGATAGCACCAAGGGGATGGTGCTAAACCATTCAGGAGAAACCTGCTCCAGTGATCCAGTTACCTCCCACCAGGCTCTATTTCCAATACTGGGGATTACATTTCAACATAAGATTTGGGCAGGGACACATATCCAACTATATCACTGGCTCATAAAAAAACTAATAGTAAAATTAAAAGTTTTGTAATCTTTGACTACAGGGTATTAATAGAAATCAAGAGCTTAATTAATAATGTAATATCTAGTACATCTGCAAATAATTGAAAATTAAATAACACACTTATAAATTAGCCATAGTCAGAGAAGAACTACAAAAGAATGTAGAAAACAGTTTATAATAATTTAGGTGTCTATACAAGAAAAGAAAAAAATAAAATTAATGATCTAAGCATTCACATTAATAGGCTTAAAAAAGAGCAGATAGTATGCAAAATGATTTTGAAGTAATAATAAACATTGAAATCAATGAAATGGGAAATAAACAATCATTAGAAAAACATTTAAAAGCCAATAATTTGTTCTTTGAAAAAATTAAAAATATTAACTTCTAGCAAAACATCACAAAAATCAGAGAGAATACATATTAACAATATAATGATTGAAGGACAATAAATCACTATAATTTATATAGAACAAGTATAATATAAAAATATGAACAATTTGGCTGACTCTCTTTTCGGACTCAGCCCGCCTGCACCCAGGTGAAATAAACAGCCATGCTGCTCACACAAAGCCTGTTTGGTGGTCTCTTCACACCGACGCACATGAAATTTGGTGCTGTGACTTGGATCAGGGGACCTCCCTTGGGAGATCAATCCCCTGTCCTCCTGTTCTTTGCTCTATGAAAAAGATCCACCTGCAAACTCAGGTCCTCAGACCCACCAGCCCAAGGAACATCTCACCAATTTTAAATCGGGTAAGCGGCCTCTTCTTACTCTCTTCTCCAACCTCTCTCACTATCCCTCAACCACTTTCTCCTTTCCACTCTTTAATCTCTCCCTTCTCTTAATTTCAATTCCTTTCATTTTCTGGTAGAGACAAAGGAGACACGTTTTATCTGTGGACCCAAAACTCCGGCGCTGGTCACGGACTGGGAAGGCAGTCTTCCCTTGGGGTTTAATCATTGCAGGAAAGCCTCTCTGATTATTCACCCACGTTTCAGAGGTGTCAGACCATGCAGGGACACCTGCCTTGGTCCTTCACCCTTAGCGGCAAGTCCCGCTTTTCTGGGGGAGGTGCAAGTACCCCAGCCTCGTATCTCTGCACCCCGATCCCTTATTTTCACGCCCTAACCTCTTATATCTCTGCACCCTGATCCCTTATTTCTGTGCCCCAACTTCGTATCTGTGCGCCCCAACCCCTTTCCTGCTTTTCTGGAGGGTAAGAACCCCCGAACCACTTCCCTCCGTGTCTCTACTCTCCCTTTTCTTTAAACTTTCCTCCTTCACTATAGGCAATCTTCCACCCTCCATTCCTCCTTCTTCTCCCTTAGCTTGTGTTCCCAAAAACTTAAAACCTCTTCAACTCACACCTGACCTAAAACCTAAATGCCTTATTTGCTTCTGCAATGCTGCTTGACCCCAATACAAACTCGACAGTAGTTCCAAATAGCCAGAAAACCACACTTTCAATTTTTCCATACTGCAAGATCTAAATAATTCTTGTAAAATAGGCAAACAGTCTGAGGTGCCTGACGTCCAGGCATTCTTTTACACATCGGTCCCTTCCTAGTCTCTGTGCCCAATGTAACTCATCCCAAATCTTCCTCCTTTCCCTCCCGCCTGTCCCCTCAGTCCCAACTCCAAGTGTTGCTGAGTCTTTCTAATCTTCCTTTTCTACAGACCCATCTGACATCTCCCCTCCTTGCCTGGCTGAGCTAGGTCCCAATTCTTCCTCAGCCTCCATTCCTCCACCCTATAATCCTTTTATAACCTCCCCTCCTCACACCCGGTCAGACTTACGGTTTTGTTCTGCAACTAGCCCCCCAACCCCAACCTGCCCAGCAATTTCCTCTTAAAAAGGTGGCTGGAGCTAAAGGCATAGTCAAGGTTGATGCTCCTTTTTCTGTATCCGACCTCTCCCAAATCAGTTAGCGTTTCGGCTCTTTTTTATCAAATATGAAGAACCCAGCCCAGTTCACGGCTCATTTGGCAGCAACCCTGAGACGCTTTACAGCCCTAGACCCAAAAAGTCAAAAGGCCGTCTTATTCTCAGTATACATTTTATTACCCAATCCACTCCCAACTTTAAATAAAACTCCAAAAATTAAATTCCAGCCCTCAAACTCCACAACAGGACTTAATTAACCTCGCCTTCAAGGTGTAAAATAATAGAAAAAAGGCAATTCCTTGTCTCCACTGTGAGACAAACCGCAGCCATATCTCCAGCACACAAGAACTTCCAAACGCCTGAACTGCAGCGGCCAGGCGTTCCTCCAGGCCTGCCTCCCCCAGGAGCTTGCTACAAGTGCCAGAAATCTGGCCACCAGGCCAAGGAATGCCTGCAGCCTGAGATTCCTCCTAAGCTGCGTCCCATCTGTGTGGGACCCCACTGAAAATCGGACTGTTCAACTCACCTGGCAGCCACTCCCAGAGCCCCCAGGACTCTGGCCCAAGGCTCTCTGACTGATTCCTTCCCAGATCTTCTCAGCTTAGCAGCTGAAGACTGACACCGCCCAATCGCCTCGGAAGCCTACAGGACCATCACAGACGCTCTGGGTAACTCTCACAGTGGAGGGTAAGTCTGTCCCCTTCTTAATCAATACGGAGGCTACCCACTCCACATTACCTTCTTTTCAAGGGCCTGTTTCCCTTGCCTCCATAACTGTTGTGGGTATTGACGACCAGGATTGTAAACCTCTTAAAACTCCTGAAATCTGGTGCCAATTTAGACAATACTCTTTTAAGCACTCCTTTTTAGTTATCCCCACCTGCCGAGTTCCCTTATTAGGCCGAGACACTGTAACTAAATTATCTGCTTCCCTGACTATTCCTGGGCTACAGCTGCGCCTCATTGCCACCTTTTCCCCCAGTTCAGAGCCTCCTTCACATCCTCCTCTTTTATCCCCCCACCTTAACCCACAAGTATAGGATACCTCTACTCCCTCCTTGGTGACAGATCATGCACCCCTTACCATCTCATTAAAACCTAATCACCCTTACCCCACTCAATGCCAATATCCCATCCCACAGCACGCTTTAAAAAGATTAAAGCCTGTTATCATTCACCTGCTACAGCATGGCCTTTTAAAGCCTATAAACTCTCCTTACAATTCCCCAATTTTACCTGTCCTAAAACCAGACAAGCCTTACAGTTAGCTCAGGATCTGCGCCTTATCAACCAAATTGTTTTGCCTATCCACCCCGTGATGCCAAACCCATATACTCTCCTATCCTCAATACCTGCCTCTACAACCCATTATTCTGTTCTAGATCTCAAACATGCTTTCTTTACTATTCCTTTGCACCCTTAATCCCAGCCTCTCTTTGCTTTCACTTGGACTGACCCTGACACCCATCAAGCTCAGCAAATTACCTAGGCTGTACTGCCACAAAGCTTCACAGACAGCCCCCCTTACTTCAGTCAAGCCCAAATTTCTTCCTCATCTGTTACCTATCTCGGCATAATTCTCATAAAAACACATGTGCTCTCCCTGCCAATCGTGTCCGACTGATCTCTCAAACCCCGGTACCTTCTACAAAACAACAACTCCTTTCCTTCCTAGGCATGGTTAGCATGGTCAGAATTCTTACACAAGAGCCAGGAAAACACCCTGTAGCCTTTCTGTCCAAACAACTTGACCTTACTGTTTTAGCCTAGCCCTCATGTCTGCGTGCAGCAGCTGCCACTGCTTTAATACATTTAGAGGCCCTCAAAATCACAAACTATGTTCAACTCACTCTCTACAGTTCTCATAACTTCCAAAATCTATTTTCTTCCTCATACCTGACGCATATAATTTCTGCTTCCCAGCTCCTTCAGCTATACTCACTCTTTGTTGAGTCTCCCACAATTACCACTGTTCCTGGCCCGGACTTCAATCCGGCCTCCCACATTATTCCGGATACCACACCTGACCCTCATGACTGCATCTCTCTGATCCACCTGACGTTCACCCCCTTTCCCCACATTTCCTTCTTCCCTGTTTCTCACCCTGATCACACTTGGTTTATTGATGGAAGTTCCACCAGGACTAATCGCCACTCACCAGAAAAAGCAGGCTATGCTATAGTATCTTCCACATCTATCATTGAGGTTACCACTCTGCCCCCCTCCACTACCTCTCAGCAAGCCGAACTAGTTGCCTTAAGCCCTCACTCTTGCAAAAGGACTACGTGTCAATATCTATACTGATTCTAAATATGCCTTTCATATTCTGCACCACCATGTGGTCATATGGGCTGAAAGAGGTTTTCTCACTACACAAGGGGTCCTCCATCATTAATGCCTTTTTAATAAAAACTCTACGCAAGGCCACTTTACTTCCAAAGGAAGCTGGGGTCATTCACTGCAAGGGGCATCAAAAGACATCAGATCCCATTGCTCTAGGCAATGTTTATGCTGATAAGGTGGCTAGACAAGCAGCTAGCTCTCCAACTTCTGTCCCTCACAGCCAGTTTTTCTCCTTCACATCGGTCACTCCCACCTACTCCCCTGCTGAAACTTCCACCTATCAATCTCTTCCCACACAAGGCAAATGGTTCTTAGACCAAGGAAAATATCTCCTTCCAGCCTCACAGTCCCATTCTATTCTGTCGTCATTTCATAACCTCTTCCATGTAGGTTACAAGCCGCTAGCCCGTCTCTTAGAACGTCTCATTTCCTTTCCGTCATGGAAATCTATCCTCAAGGAGATCACTTCTCAGTGTTCCATCTGCTATTCTACTACCCCTCATGGATTGTTCAGGCCTCCTCCCTTTCCTACTCATCAAGCTCTGGGATTTGCCCCTGCCCAGGACTGGCAAATTGACTTTACTCACATGCCTTGAGTCAGAAAACTAAAATATATCTTAGTCTGGGTAGACATTTTCACTGGATGGGTAGAGGCCTTTCCTACAGGGTCTGAGAAGGCCAACACAGTCATTTCTTCCCTTCTGTCAGACATAATTCCTCAGTTTAGCCTTCCCACCTCTATACAGTCTGATAACGGACCAACCTTTATTAGTCAAATCAGCCAGGCATCTTTTCAGGCTCTTAGTATTCAGTGACAGACTAACGGTCTATTAAAAACATGCCTCACCAAGCTCAGCCACCAACTTAAAAAGGACTGGACAATACTTTTACCACTTTCGCTTCTCAGAATTCAGGCCTGTCCTTGGGATGCTACAAGGTACAGCCCATTTAAGCTCCTGTATAGACACTCCTTTTTATTAGGCCCCAGTCTCATTCCAGACACCAGACCAACTTAGACTGTGCCCCAAAAAGTTGTCATCCCTACTATCTTCTGTCTAGTCATACTCCTATTCACCGTTCTCAACTACTCATACATGACCTGCTCTTGTTTACACTGCCAGTTTACACTGTTTCTCCAAGCCATCACAGCTGGTATTTCCTGGTGCTATCCCCAAACTGCCACTCTAAACTCATGAAGTAAATAAATAATCTTTGCTGGCAGGACTATGCTGAATCTCCTTAGGCACTCTCTAATCAGATGTCCTGGGTCCTCCCAATTCTTAGACCTTTTATACCTGTTTTTCTCCTTCTCTTATTCCGTTGAGTTTTTCAATTCATACAAAACCGTATCCAGGCCATCATCAATAATTCTACACAAATGTTTCTTCTAACAACCCCACAATATCACCCCTTACCACAAAATCTTCCTTCAGCTTAATCTCTCCCACTCTAGGTTCCCACACCACCCCTAATCCCACTGGAAGCAGCCCTGAGAAACATCACCCATTCTCTCTCTCCATACCACCCCCCAAAAATTTTCGCTGCCCCAACACTTCAACACTATTTTATTTTATTTTTCTTATTAATATAAGAAGGCAGGAATGTCAGGCCTCTGAGCTCAAGCCAAGTCATCACATCCCCTGTGACTTGCACGTATATATGTCCAGATGGCCTGAAGTAACTGAAGAATCACAAAAGAAGTGAATATGCCCTGCCCCACCTTAACTGATGACATTTCACCACAAAAGAAGTGTAAATGGCCAGTCCTTGACTTAAGTGATGACATTACCCTGTGAAAGTCCTTTCTGTGGCTCATCCTGGCTCAAAAACCACCCCCACTGAGCACCTTGCGACCCCCACTCCTGCCCGCCAGAGAACAAACCCCCTTTGACTGTAATTTTCCTTTACCTACCCAAATCTTATAAAATGGCCCCACCCTTATCTCCCTTCACTGACTCTCTTTTCCCACTCAGCCCACCTGCACCCAGGTGAAATAAACAGCCATGTTGCTCACACAAAGCCTGTTTGGTGGTCTCTTCACAGGGACACGCATGAAAGGCCCCTTTCCGGTAACAAAGGTGCTATCAAGAAACAGAGAGGGGTTGGTTGATGCTTCTTAACCTTGTTAATATCAAATTTTCTGCATCTGAGTAGTGCTTTGAAAACCCCGGTAAGGTGTAAGACATGGGAACTTTTGTGCCTATTGGAAACCAGAATATGCCACACCAAGGTATACAGGATGATTGAGCCAAAGGCAATGAAGGAGGAGATGCAGGAAAGCACTCTGCCCTCCATGTGCCTAAAAGCAGGATATAAATGTGCAAAGGCAAAGGGTTTCCATGCCCTCACCTACCAGAGAGAAGAAATGTTAACCCTTTAAGACAACATTAGCCGGTGGAGATGGTAGCAGTGGAATCTACATTAACCAGCTTTCCTAACTTGCCGTTAATTGCCCTTAGTTTACCTTTCCACAAGTTGCTATTCTGCACATTCAAAGTTCCTTTCCTTTGTTTTGTCGCTTCTCTAAAATTTTCCTTTACTTTGTTAACGATGCTATATAAGCTGTAATTCAAATTCACCTCTATGAGAATTACTCATTCCCTGGTATCTCCCATGTATATATAAAATATACATGTTAATAAAAAAATATGAACAATTTCTTGTCAAAATTGGAGGGCATATATTATTTAGTTTAAGGATGTAATATAAAACTATAGCAATCAAGATAAAGTGGTATCGGCATGAGGATAAACAAATGAATTGATTGAACAGAATAAAGAGTCCTGAAGTGGATCTACAATTGATTTTTGACCAATTTGTTGAGGTACAATAGTCAGCAGTCTCTGAATTGAAGATGTAGAGCTGTGGCTCTGGGGATTTCAAAGCAGAAAAAGTTCACAGGAAAGAGTTCTATAAAAGAGAAAACTGCACATGGAAATAACTTGGGAAATTTGTAAAGTCTACTCTTTAGGAATCTGTAAATAGTTTTAATTAATGAATGTGTATAATTAATGTGTATTTTAATTAATTAATGTATATAATTAATGTATGTAATTAATGAATGTGTATAAGAAACCTAAACAAGGGTAGCAAAAGAACCACACAAAATAATTAGGGCAAATTATACTTAAAGTTCACAAAGGGCAGAAAATAATACCTGTTTACAATAGCTGAAGTGGAAAATCTTTTTATTCCAGTGATCAGTTAGAGCTGGCTTTGGCAACTTTGGCCTGTTAGTCAAATCTGACCTATGATCTATTTTGGGATAGAATTTGAGATAAATAATTTGTACATATTAAACAGAGGTAAAAAGCAAACATACACACATAGAAACAAATAAATATGTTACAGAAATCATATATGACTTACCAAGCATAAACTGTGCACTATTATATATAAATACAATTATACATGTTTCTTTTACAGAAAAATATTTGCTGGTCTGTTAGCTAGAGTATGATAAGGGTCTTTCTCAGCAGTGAGGGAAATTAATACTAGATCAATGTTTCCTCTTGAAAAAATAAAAATTAAAGCCATGAAAGCAGGACTCAAAAATAACAAGTTATTTTCAAATAGCGTAACTGTGTTCTGAAAGAAATCTCAAGAAGAAATAATATCCAACATCTACAAATATAAAATTCACAATGTCCAGCATCCAAAAAAAGTTACTAGATATGTAAAGAAGCAGCAAAATACTACCCAAGTGAAAAGAAAAGTAAATCAATAGAAACTGACCTAAAAATGAAATAAATGATAAAAATCATTTAAATAGCATTGAAAACATATATATATATGTTAAAGAAATTAAAGTATGAAGATCCTAAGTCGAGAAGTCACACACACACACACACACACACACACGCACACACACACACACACACATACACACAGTCTCCTAGAGATGAAAACTGCAATGTCAGAGAAAAAATACACTGGATGAAATTTATGGTAGATTAGACACTTCAGAAGAAAATATTAGTGAAATTAAAACTTAGCAATATGAAGCTTACAAAAT
This sequence comes from Homo sapiens, assembly GCF_000001405.40. Classification (NCBI taxonomy): domain Eukaryota; kingdom Metazoa; phylum Chordata; class Mammalia; order Primates; family Hominidae; genus Homo; species Homo sapiens. The sequence continues at coordinate 102,110,172 of NC_000006.12, forward strand.
AGAATACAGACAGGAAAAACTTTTTAAAAATCGAGACAACAATGAACTGTGAGACAACTTTAACTGAACAACTAGATGTGTGAATGGTGTTCCTGAAGACCGAAGACAAAAATTATTTGAAGAAATAAAATAAGAGCTGAAAATTATCCAAATTGAGTGAAACTATAAAGCCACAGATAAAACCAGCTTAATAAACTGCAAGAGCAAGAAACATGATGAGAACCACTAAGGTCATTAAGGTCATATTGCTTAAACCCAGTAACAGAAAACCTTAGAAGCAATAAGAGGAAAAAAAGCAAATATAAGGGTGACAAGTGGCTTTTTTTTTTTCAGAAACAATGCTAGTATACCCAGCATTATTAAGTAAGTTAACTAGCATAATATACCTTGGTATAATTCTTATCTTTCAGTAGCATAAAACAGTGGAGCCACGTCTTTAAAATAATGAAAGAAAATATCTGTCAACTTGGAATTTTTTGCCCAGTAAAAATATTTTTCTAAAAAAAGAGGGATAATGCATTTTTCAGACAAAAGGATATATGCACCAAAAGAAATGTTAAATGGTCTTCTAGAAAAAGAAAAATAAGGGGAGGAAAACTGGATCTACAAAAGGGATAAAAGAGTGTTAGAATTGGCAACTACATGGGTTAACAAAAAGACATTATTTTTTAACATCTTCAAATAATAATTGACTATTTAAAGCAAAACTAATAAGAACGTTTTCTTGAGGAATATAACATGAAAAGTAAAATACATGACATCAATAACACAAAGCTCTGGAGAGGAGAGATTGAAGTAAGCTACTCTGAGGTCATTATACCATACATGAAGTAGCATGATATCACTTGAAGAGAGAGTATATTAAGCTAAAGATATATACAATAGATGCAAAACAACCACTAATATAAAACAACAAAATTATAGTTAATAAGCAAACAAGAGAGTTGAAATGAACTAAAAAGGATTGCTCAATTAATCCCAAAACATCAGAAGAAAAATAACAAAGAAAGAAATATCATACGCAATAAGAAGAAAACAAATAATAAGAGGGTAGATGTAAATTCAAACATATTGATAATCATAATTAATGTAACTTCCAAATTATCCAATTGAAAGGAAAATATTGTTAGATTGAATAAAAAATAAACAATATTTTCTACATTCAAGAAACTCACTTTATAGTTAGGTACTATAATCTGTCAGCCATCAAAGAACAAAAGAAAGATACACTATGCTAACACCAGAAGAAAGTTCAAATGGCAACATTAATATCAGAAAAAAAAATAGATTTCAGATCAAATAATCATACCAGGGATATAGGAGTTTATTTCATGAAAATAAGGGTTTCAATTCATCAAGATCATGTAGCAATTTTAAACATTTATATACCCATTAACAAAGTTTTAAAGTATATTTAGCAAGTTTTTACAGAACTTCAAACATAAATAGGCAAATTTTCAATTATAGTCAAAAATTAGTAAGGGTATAGAAAACTTGAACATTACCATCAATGAATTTTGTCTAATTAACATTTATAAAACACTTCAACTGACAAGAACAGAACACATTATTTTTAAGTGTACATGGAATATTTACCAAGATTGACCATGCATTAAACCATACAAACTGTCTTATTAAATTAAATAGCCTTTAAGTAAAACAAAATATATCCTCTGTCCACAATGGAATTGAGTTGGATATCAATAACATTTTATTTCAGTGTATTCAAGAATTTAAATATATTTAAATAATAGAAAAATACTACATTCTAAACAATTTATGAGCCTAAGAAAAAAATCAAAAGAGAAATAAACATATTTTAAACTAAATGAAAATAGAAACCTAACATTTCAATATTTGTTTAGTGCAATTACATCCAATCACAGGAGAAAATTTGTAACACAAAATGCTTTTTTAGAAAAAAAAAATCAATAACTTCAGTTTCTCGTTTCCTTTGGTAATCTAGAGAGTGGTCTATTGATCTTGTTTATCTATTCAAACAGCCAACTCCTTGTTTCACTGATTCTTTGTTTGAATTTTTTGGTTTCAATTTTATTCTGCTCTAATTTTGATTATTTCTTTTCTTCTGGTAGCTTTAGGTTAGGTTTTCGTGTTTCTTTAGTTCTCAAATTATGATGTCGGATCTTTATTTTGAGATTTTTCTAACTTTTTGATGTAGGCATTTAGTACTATAAACTTTCCTCTTAATGCCGCTTTTGCTACATCCCAGAGATTTTGGTATGTTGTGTCTCTATTTTCACTTATTTTAAAGATTTTTTTTTGCCTTAATTTTGTTGTTTAACTGGAATTCATTGAGGGGCAAGTTGTTTAATTTCCATGTTATTTTGTGGTCTTTAGAGATCTACTTCGTAGTGATTTCTATTTTTATTCTACAGTGGTCTGAAGGTATTGTTGGTATGATTTTGATTTTTTTAATTTATTAAGAGTTGCTAAATGACCAAGCATGTGGTTGGTTTTGGAGTATGTTCCGTGTGCAGATGAGAGGATGTATATTCTGTGACTGTTGGGTGAATTATTCTGTAGATGTCTACTCAGTCCAACTGGTCAAGTGTTGAATTTAAGTACAGAATTTCTTAGTTAGCTTTCTGCCTTGCTGATCTTTCTAGTGCTGTCAGTGGGTTGATGAAGTTTCCCAAGATTATTTTGTGGCAGTCTAAGTCTTTTTTAGGTCTAGAGGTAATTTTTTTTATAGATCGAGGTGTTCTAATATTGGTTGCATGTATATTTAGGATAGTTAAATCTTCTTGTTGAATTTAATTCTTTATCATTATGTAATGACTTCCTTTGTCACTTTTTACTGTTGTTGGTTTAAAGTCTGTTTTATCTGATATGAGAATAGTGACTTTTCCTCTTTTTTGTGTTCTATTTGTGTGACAGATTTTTATCCAACACTTTACTTTGAGCCTATTGGTGTTGTTACATGTGAGATAGCACTCCTGGAGCCAGCAGAAAGGTGGGTCTTCTTTGTTCATCCTACTTGGCCCTCTGTGCCTTTTAAGTGGGGTGTTTAGACCATTAGCGTTCAAGGTTAATATTGATACATGAGATTTTGATCCTATCATGGAATTGTTTGCTTTGTAGTTTCTATTGTGTAGTTGCTTTATAGGGTTTGTGAACTACATGCTTTAGTGTGTTTCTTGTGGTAGTAAGTATCTTTTTTTTTTTTAATTTCTATGTTTATAACTCCCTTAAGTATCTCTCATAAAATTTATCTAGTGGTAATGAATTCCCTTAGCACTTGTTTGTCTGGAAAATATTTTATTTATCTTTCACTTATAAAGCTTAGTTTGGTGAGATATGAAATTCTTGGTTTGAATTTCTTTTCTTTCAGAATGCTGAAAATAGGCACCCAGTCTCTTCTGGTTTCTAAGATTTTGGCTGAAAAATCCACTCTTAGCCTCATGTGGTTCCCTTTGTACATAATCTGACCTTTTTCTCTAGCTGCCTTTATTATGTTTTTTTTTTTAGCATTGGTCTCGAACAGTGTGGTGACTATTTGCCTTAGTGATGTTAGTTTTGTATAGCATCTTGCAGGTGTTGTCTAGATGTTTCTTGAATGTGGATGTCTAACTCTCTAGCAAGATTAGGAAAATTTTCTTAAATTACTCCCTCAAATATGTTTTCCCAGTTGTTGTTTTTTTTCTTATATTTTTCTCAGGAATGCAAGTAGTTCACAGGTTTCATTGCTTTACGTATTGAGAAATCCCATATTTCTCAAAACTGTTCATTTTTAAAAATTCTTTTTTATTTTTCTCTGAGTTGATCAGTTTGAAAGATCATTCTTCAAGCTCTGAAATTCTTTCTTCGCTTGGTCCAGTCCATTAATAAAGTTTTCAATTGTATTTTGAAATTCCATAAGTTTTTTTAATTCCAGAATCTCCAATTCATTTCTTTCTGAGATGATTATCTCTTCATTTATTTCCTTGATTGCTTGAAGAGTTTATTTGTGTTGATGTTCGACCTCATCTTGAATCTCATTGAGCTTGCTTGAAATCCATACTTTGAATTCTTTATCTGTCATTTCTGAGTTTCCATTTTGGTTAGGGACCATTGCTAGAGATCTAGTGTGATCCTTTGGTGGTATCACTACATTCAGATTTTTCATTTCGCAGAATTCTTGCTCTGGTTCCTTCTCATCTGCGATACTGGCACTTGTAATTTTTGTAAATTTTTCATGCAGGTAGGATATTTTTTTCTTTCTATCACCATGATATTATTTTCTTCTTCCTTCCCCTTTCTCTCCCCTCCGCCCCACCCCCTACCAGGTGGTGTGATTGCAGAGAATATTGTGTAGGGTCTTTTGGCTTTGCTTCTATAGCCCTATGCACTTCTGTCAGCAGGTTTATATTATGTGAAGTTCAACCTACAAGCCAGTAGAGGGCCCCGATGGGTCAGAGCTTGTGGTAGTCAGTGCTGCTGGGTAAATATTTCATCCTTGTTTACCTGGAGAATTTCTCTGTTACCTTAGGCAATGGATTGACTTATGGAGCACTCAGTGGTCTGAGCTCCCTCTTCAGCCCAGGGGGGAATGGGGCAAGATGGGCAGGTCTGGACCAGGCAGGTTCTCTTATAGACCCCTCAATAGCAGGCACAAGAACCAGCATTGAGGGAGAATCAACTGGGCAGCCACCAAGCGTTCAGAGGTGTGCCTGGGTATGGAGTTGAGAAAACTCACCCCAAATTTTCTGCACACAGATGGGGACAGCCTAAACACTTAATCCAGGAGAGTGAGTGCTCCAGATGCATGGAGATCTTCCTGATCATGAAGCAGAGAGGGCCTCCTTGCACTCAGATCTCTGCACAGGAAGGGCGAGGTGGCTCAGGCTGCTAAAACAGGCAAGCAGGTGCTCCGAATGCTTAAAGATTTATGTGGGCATGAAGCAGAGAGGATTCCCCTGCACCAGAGTATATGCATAGGAAGGGTAGGCTGACTCAGGCTTCTAGTCTGGGTAAGCAGGTGCTTTGAATGCCTGGAGATCTGCTTGGGTGTAGAGTAGAGAGATCCTCATTGCACTGTGATCTATGTCCAGGAAGGTTGAGGTGGCTTAGGCTGCTGATTCAGGTGAGTGAGTGTTCCAAATGCCTGGAGATTTGCCTGGACATGGAGTGGAGAGAGCTCTGCTGCACTAAAATCTATGCCCATGAAGGGTGAGGAGGCTCAGCTGAACCAGGTGAGCAAGTGCTCCAAGTGCCTAAACATGTGCTTGGACATGAAGCAGAGAGGGCCCCCTGCACAGGATCTCTGCACTGGGAAGGTAGGCCAACTCAGGCTGCTAGTCCATGTGAGCAGGTGCTCCAAATGCCTGGAGATCTGCCGACATGTGGAGCAGACACGTAGCGGGGTTGGAAGGGTGGGTTGGCTCAAGCTTCTGGTCCAGGCAAGTTAGTGCTCTAAATGCTTGGATTTCTACCTAGGGCAGAGTGAAGAGGGTCCTGCTACACCAGGATCTCAGGGAAACAGGCTAGGACACCCAACAATGACACATGAAGACTGATTCTAGGTCACCGAGCTGGCCCTGGCTGCAAGTCTTATTGTCCAGGAGAAACTACAACTGTAGCAACTCTCCTCCCACCACAGGCCTGTGACAGAAGACAGTATAATTCAAGTACCTACTTTTGAGATGCTTTCCACAGTACTGGCTGTGGAAACCCCTACTGTGCTCCAGAGCAGACACTTCAATCTCTGGCCTGAGATTAAAATGCCTGCACAGCTACACTGTTGAGGCACTAAGGAATGGCTGACTTTGTCCCTGGATTAAAAATAACATGCTGCTCTCAGTTTTATGTCAGGGAAAATGCCTGTAGCTTTTCCTGGTGTGTTTTTCTCACAGAATCTTTAAGTCTCCCTCCCAAGTTAGCTCCAGGGCTTGGAAGAAACAAAGTTCTTTCCCATAGCCTGGGTTGTTTAGATCCCCAGTGAAAAGGTGAGTCACAGTGCATGTCTCATGTCTTGAGGCCTCACTCACCTTTGTCAGGTGGATGCCATCACAGGGTTTATCTGTCTGCATTTTCCTCCCCAGAATCTGGGATATCCTTCCTTATTCCAGTGGATTCCCATTTTCCTTCCTGAATTAAAGCTCACAGAGTTGATCTTTATGCACTATCTCAATATTTCGAATTGGCAGAAGTATGCAAAAATCCTATAATCTGCCATCTTGAAAAAAACACAAATTCAAGAATCGTATTCTTGAATACAAAGACAAATACAATAATTTATATTTTTTTCAGATGAGAAACTCTACTTGATTATTTATTTATTTATTTATTTATTTATTTTACTTTAAGTTCCAGGATACATGTGCCATGGTGGCTTGCCATTGAGATTTTAATAGGAACTTCATGAAATTTATAGATCACTTTAGGCAGCACGGACAGTTTATCAATATTAAGTCTTCCCATTCATGAACACAAAATGTCTTTCCAGTTGTTTGTGTTTAGTGTAATTTCTTTCATCAGTGCTTTGTAGTTTTTAGTAAACAACCCTTTTCCTTGTTAAGTTTAAGTATTTTATTCCTTTTGCTATTGTAAATTACATTGTTTTTCTAATTTTTAAATAAAGTTTATTGTTACTGTATGGAAGCACAACTGATTTTTCCATGTTGATTTGTATCCTGCAAATTTACTGAATTTGTTGATTCGTTCTACCAGCTTTTTTTATGGAGTCATTAGGGTTTTCTACATAAGCAAATGTTATCTTCAAACAGGAACACTTTTCTTTCTTACTTTCTATTTTGAATGCTTACCTTTAATTACTTCTTATTCTAGCTTTAAGATGAGTCTTTCTACCTATAATCTGAACCATTCTGTTAATTTTATACTTGAATTACCTAATGGAAATCTTCTTGCCCTCATTTTTGAGTTCTTTTTTTTATCATCCACACTAGAACACATTCGAGACTGAGTGGTGCACTATTAATAGTGTCATATTAATAATATGACAAAACAATAGTCATAAACCTATTTATGGTTTATGGACTGCTTGACAAATTGAGATGCCACATTACTTATTTCCAGCTCTTGGAGGACATTCACAGTGGCATGCTTTGAACCCCTCTCCAAACACTCCCCAACACAGTAGCTGAAAGGCCATGCTATATATTCATTTTCTGACTATATATTCAAATGTTGGTGGTGAAACAATTATGAAAACAGAACCTTATTTAAACATTTTAGAAGGAAGGGAACATAAGAATGGACAAATAGCTAAATAAAGCTAAATTCCTAATCATGGTATTAAGTACCTAAGTCCTATATGATAATAGTGAGAGTTCTGATCTGTTTCTATTTGTAATTATCCAAGTTCAATATTGATTTCTGGTTCATTTGCCCTGTCTTTCTTGCTCCCATCAATTCAAAATATGTGCTCTTATAAGAGATTTTTGTTTATCTTTCTTTTTCATGAAGTTCCAATTATTGAGTTTCTAAATACACTCTGATTTCACATTAACATTTTATTTTTCTATAATATGAAAATAAAAAAGAAACAGAACCAGCTCCTCTTCACACATGTAGAGATACATCCACAGATAAAAAGATGCATTCTATTTCATGGATTTTCCAACCTCTTTCACCTGTATAAACTATATATTTCTCATTGCTTGATATTAAAATTAAGAAAAATTATCTTCTACAAATAATTAAGTTTGAGTCAAAATACCAAGTCAAAGTGAACAGAAGTTATGTGAGGTATTTCCAACTTATTAAATTTTAACAATAAAAATTAAAATTAGGTCATGGGAAAAGAAATTTATCTAAATTCATATGGTGCTTTTTTGAAAAAGCATGGATATGTCTATATTCTCAGTTTACTAACATTCAATATAACAGTGATTCTTGACGTGACTTCCTCGATTTTCCATTAGGAATATAAAAGGGAACTAAAAGGAAGTAAGGAAATGGAAAAAGAAGGAAGGAAGGAAGGAAGGAAGGAAGGAAGGAAGGAAAGAAGGAAAGAAAGACAGACAAACAGGAAGAGAAAGAAAGAAGGAAGGAAAGAAAAAGAAAAAGAAAAAGGGAGGGAGGGAAAGAAAGAAAAAGAAAGAGAGAAAAGAGAAAAAGAAAGGAGGGAGGGAGGGAAGGAAGGAAGGAAAAAGCAGAAAGAAGAGAAGAGAAAAGGGGAGAAGAAAAGGAGGAGAGGAGAGAACAAGAAAGAAAGGAAGAATGAGGAGGAGATGAGAGAGAAAGATTTAAAGTCAGAGTGACAACAAAGAAAGATTCAGAAGAGATGGCAATTTTTTGATTCATAATTATAGTTATGCCTTTTTTAGGAGATTGTAGCTGGCTACCATGATGAAGAATGGGACTTTCTCCTCCTTTTTTTTTTTTCTCAGATTGCGGTATTAAGCGTGGATTCTCTAAATGGTTCTGTTGCTGTATTTAGCGGCTGCTGCCACCCAGGCCTTGTCTGGCCACCCATGAAAGTCAATTTGCCACAACCTCTAAGCCTAGGGGCTTTTTTACAGGCCCATTATGACAACTGTAGTGGAAACCCAAGGAGTTCCAGTACACAGGCCTGCCATGACTAGGTTCACGGATGCTTTGACTTCTTCCGCTACTTCTGGACTTACATGAATTGCCTCCCCTCTGGGCATGGGATCTGCAGTCTCCAGCAGCTGACCAAATTATCTAACACATCCCGGAAGCATAAGAGATTTAGTGCTTCCTGGGGAAAGCTTTGTGCTATGTGAAGCAGAAGATGGGAAAGAATGTGTAAGTGCCTTTTGCCTCTCTCAACCTCCAGGGTGTTCTGATGTGCAGAGTTTCTACACATCTCATGTGACTGAGCAAACAGTAGTTTTCTTGTGAAGTGGAACCAACTCAGTAACTAACCAGTCTATTGCATTTTCTTCCAATACCTTTCCTCTCATTATTGTCTTTCTTACCTATAATTCCACCTCTCAATAAAACCGTGGCATATAAGCTTTGCCTTAAGCTGTTTTCCAAGGAAACTATCCTAAAACAGAGCATCTGTTATTCCATATTGCTAGAAGGAAAAGTTCACTTTTATATAGACTTTTATAGATTTCATAAATTTCTTTTATTCAATCAATCATATCAACTTATCATTTTTATCCTAAATGTATCTGAAATCCATCTCTGTTTCTGCACCCCTACTTACACTGCCTCAATGTGGACCATCATCATCTCTGTCCTGGAATATAGTACCAGGCTTCTATTTACTGTATAACCTCTTCGTGTATTAATTCTTTTTGAGTTATTCTATTTTCAGTGTTCCATCTGCAACATGAAAAGAACCTTAATGTTGTTGGACAATAATACTTTTCTCTCATTCTCCTAGATGCTTAGTTCCTACATTATCAGATCTTCTCACATAATCTTCTCCATGTGGACCATCATCATCTCTGTCCTGGAGTATAGTATCAAGCTTCTATTTAGTCTATAAACCTCTAGTCTAGTTCTCTGATTCATCCCCCATGCAACTGTCCAAGTGATTTTTCTAAAGCCTAAATTTGAACATGCTTTTATTTTGCTTTAAATCCTTTCAATAGCTCTCTGTTGATGATTAAGTAAAGTTTAGTGTTATGATAAGCACATTGGGCTCTGTGATCTATTTCTGATTCTCTGTGTCTTTGTATCTTTACTCATCCCTGCCCCGTCTGCCTAGGAAACTTTACCTGCCTTCTCTTACTCTAGTTAAATCTTACTCCTCCTTTAAGGCAGTAGTTCTTGACTTGTTGGGAGTCATGGGCCTTTTGCTTTTCAAATGAAACATATGAAGTCACTCTTTCAAGAGAAACGTACGCATATAAATATTGCACAACATTCTAAAGTAGAGTAGACTTTCACCCTGTCCCCAAATCTACTCATGTATATAGAAGTTCATCTTCTCTATATAATTACCCCTACATTGGGGTTCCACTCTCTTTACGCTGAGATCACTTTGAGAACTGATGTTGTGCTTACTTCATTTCTGATTCAGTAGTGCCTGTCACGTAAGTGGCATATATTTATTTGTTGAAAAAACAACCAACTGAATTAAGCTCAGTGGACAGGCTCAACAGTAGAATGTAAGACATAGAGGAAATAAATTGTTTAACAGGGTGTTAGAACAATTTAATTTACAAAATGTTTAAACAATAGAGAGAAATATTTAGTCCTAATATGAATATTTTAAGTGGCAGAAACCCAACAATAACAAATTTATTTTTCAAAATCGTTTGTATCATTGTGTTCAAAAGATTCAAGTAAACATATTGATAATACTCAGCTAGTTATTTTGAAATTAAAATTACTACCTTAGTTTATTACACTTCTCTATACAAAGAAAAAAATGAGACTGAAGAAAAAAATAATACAGAGGGCAGGAGGAAATCCTTGGAGGTGATGAATATGCTTAGAGCATAGATAATGGTGATGGCTTCATGGCTGTATACATCTCTCCAAATCATCAAAATGTATACATTAAATAGGAACAATTTTTTGTATGCCGATTGTACCTGAGTACGTTTTTTAAAAATAATGGCACCCTGATTTGGGGAAAGATTCAATGTTTAGGATTAATACCGAAGTAATTATTTTTCTGCCTTTAAATATAAACCAGAAACATTTAAATTAGGCTTCTCAGCTAAATCCTTAAAATAATACAATAGATTCAATGATCACCTGGGTTAACTTTTTCCTCTCAACATCATAAAGTAAGTATATCTAAAATAACATGTCACCTTTCTGCAAACTTGTATATAAACTCTGGTGCTATCATCTTATATTTACAGACATAAAATAAATGCTGAAATTCTTTGGACTGTGACTGTATCATTTTTTATTATCTATTAAATCACTCTCAATACACCATAATCACAACTTTGCAATTCTGCTTTCATTAAAAATCTCTAAAACATTTTTTCTGTCAATTTTTAAATAATAGGACAGCATGGCCTTAAGGATAAAATTGGAAAGCGATTATTAAATTGGACATGCCTGTCTGTAATGTGAAACGCTGTACTTCTCGGCTCTTCATTCAGAGAAGATCAAGCTCAACAATACATAGTACAAATACACTACCTATGAAATGATTATAATAAAATGATAATGTGTAAAAGCACCTTATGAGTAAAAACTCATAAAAATCTTGTTATTGTTGTTTTAGACTTGCTGGTTCTATGATCATGTGAACCAACTCTAAAATCTCAATCTCTTTCTCGCTTTCTCTCTCATCCGTATATCCTATTGATTGTTTCTCTGGAGATTCCTGATTAATACACTGGCTGTTACTCATTCTTGTACTACTCAGATTATGATATCTTTGATTCCTAAAATGTCCTGATTTACAGTTTCTAAATTTCCCTCTCTTCCAGTGATTTTGTTTCACCTTTTTAGCCACTTAAAACAGGAAAATATCCTAGAGCTAGTTGTTACTAAAATGGCAACATCTCCATAATCTCAATTTTAAATATCCCACCCCCCAAGCACTTTCTGATTTCTTTGCAGCTTATTCCCTTTAGTACTTCTGTTCTAACAATCCTTCAACCTCAATAAGACCTATAAACTTTGGTTTACTCTCTTTCGTTTGTGAGTGTCCTCTGTTCTCTCCTTAAGAGTTAACAAAAGGTTAACAATGATAATAACAATAATACTTTCTTGTGATTACTCTTGAGTTTTAAACACTATTTTGCATAAACAAGTCTTTTGGTCTTCTCAAACTGCCATAATTTGCAGCCTCACTGAAATCCAGCTTTTTTGCTACTTTTTGTCTGAATATAAACATGGCTGAAGAAAATAAGTGTATTGATTTTTCTAACTTTAAAATTATGATTAATTGCCTCAAGAGGAGGTCCACTCTTTTTAACTTTCTAAATGCTTCCTTAGAAGATCAAGGCATATGGATTCTATCAACAGGATCCCTTACATCTTCAAACTTCACTTTCGATTTGACAAATGGTAAACCCTAGGACGCAACCAGAGGGAAATGGGGAGAGTGAAGACAGATAATCTATTCTCTTGGTTCCCTCCCTCAAATTTATCTTGAGCTGTCTGTCTTTTGCGGAAATGTCATTGATAGCTGCCATTCTACCAGTTCTAGTAAGTGTTCTCAGTTACTAGTAGCTTCTCCCAGTTTTAGCAATTCTTTTTCTCATGTCTTTCAGACTAGCAGTGAATTCCTGGAACATTCTACCCCTGACATACTGCATTAACCATTATAGTTTCTCTGCACCTGCACCTTTGTAAATAACCTCTTTGTGTATTAATTCTTTTTGAGTTATTCTATTTTGAGTGTTCCATCTGCAACATAAAAGGAACCTTAATGTTATTTGACAATAATACTTTTCTCCCATTCTCCTAGATGATCAGTTCTTACATTTTCTAATCTTCTAAAGTAATCAGCAACTCCCTTCTACATCCTCACTCTCAGTTTATGATCTCTGAAAAATCAAAAAGAAAATCTCAATAGAAAGTTCATAATCTCCCACCTCCACCAATATCTCTACTTGATATATTTAAATCCATACAATTTACTCTTTAGCATTAATTCTTCCATCATGGCTAATTGGAAGTCATAAATGTGGTGCCACTGAGGTTGTAACAAGGTGAGCACAATCAGCTCTTAGGATGAGCCATGCTAACTGGCTCCATCAGACACTGTGTAGGTAGGAATTTTGTAAGATTATTCACTGCTCTTTACCCAGTTTCTAAAATAATGCCCAGCAAATAATAGGTGATTAATTAATATTTTCTGAACAGGATGAAAATAGTAGTTACTATAATGAATTAAGTAGTTAGTCAATACATTATTTCTAAATATCATTAAGTAAACATGATTATGTGCAGGCACTTGGGTGTATAATTTTATTTAAACATATCTGATTAGCTATTACTTTAAATTATGTTTTAAAATTCTCAACTTTAATTGAAATGTTTCATTTTCTAAGAAATATTTTATTATATTGTTAATATTGATATTATTGATATTAATAATAATTAATATTATTAACATCATATTAATAATAAGATGTTATATCATATTTTACTTATATTGTTAACTTGAGTCTATCTAAGAAAACATAATTTTTTCTCTACTTTACTATATTAACTTTTCCACCTAGGGAGTAAATAGTTACATTAAGAGAAACAGCAAATGCTAAAAATTATTTTGTATTGCGAATATAAATCACAATTAGTTAAAATAAAGACTGTGTTCTACAAAATACAATTAATACTATATTTATATTCCAAGTTTTCAGCAGAAGCTGGGGCAGAGTAGAATAACTCAAAGTGGAGTATTTAAATAGTGAGACATGAAAACACCCAACAGACCTGAGAATATTTTTATATAAACATTTACTTACTTATTTAATATATTTCCTGCTCTTTAAGCACCTTGCTGATAATTTTCTTTCAAAGCCAAATAGTGTGATAAGTACAGGCAGAAGAAATCCATGAAGATAGAAAATCCCCAGACTCTAGATTAAGGTATATTCCTCAAATTTTATGAATTCTATAGACTACGAGCTCCCTTTTTAAAGCATACTTTACAGTCCTTCTGGTAGTAAAGATAGCCTTCAACCTGAAAAATCAGTGTATATTAAGAGCTGAGAGTGAATTTCCTTCACTTACTTAATGTAATTCCTTATACTTATTTTCTGAATATTTGTATGTGTAGAAGAGAATAATACATATTTAGTAAAAAAAAAAGCATGGGCAAAAATAGATCAATTATAAATGTATCAAATTGTTCTCAGGATATTAACAATATTTTGACAGTTGAAATTTCAGAAAGAAAAAATATAAGACAGATTTCTGCATGGTGCAATATATAGTTCATTAGGGTCTATTATGTGAAAAAATAGACCTCTTTTTCAAAGAGTAGATAAAACTTTACTAATTTCCAGACAGAAATTTCTATCGTATTTTCTCATTTTAAAAGTTAAATTGATGCTTCTTGTGGTAGGCTAAATAATGGCCCTCACAGACATCCATGTTCTAATCTCTGGAAGGTGTCAATATGTTATTTTATATGGTAAAGGGAATTTGCAGTTGTGATTGGGTTAAAGATATTTAGATGGTGATATTATATTGGAATATTCAGGCAAGTACAGTGTAATCACCAGTCCTTATAAAAGGGAAGCAGGAGGCGGGAGCTTGGTGGCTCATGCCTGTAATCCCAGCACTTTGGGAGGCCGAGGCAGGCGGATCACCTGAGGTCAGGAGTTCAAGACCAGCCTGGCCAACATGACGAAACCCTGTCTCTAGTAAAAATACAAAAATTGGCTGGGTGTGGTGGCACATTCCTGTAATCCAGGCTATTAGGGAGGCTGAGAATTGCTTGAACCCGGGAGGTGGAGGTTGCAGTGGACGTTGCAGTGGAGGTTGAACCTGCCACTGCACTCCAGCTTGGGTGACAGAGCGAGACTCTGTCTCAAAAATAAATAAATAAATAAATAAGAAACAAGAGAGAAAAGTTGGTGATGTGACCAAGGAAACAGAAATTGGAGTGATGGAGCTACAAGCTAAGGAAAGCCAGCAGCCTCTGGAAGCTAGAATAGGAAAGGAACAGATTGTTCCCTGAAGCCTTCAGAAGAAACCAGCCCTGGCAACCTCTTGATATTAGTTAGCCTTGCAAGACTCATTTCAAACTTTTAATCTCCAGAACTAAAAGAAAATAAATGAGTGTCATCTTAATCCACTATATTTGTAATAATTTGTCACAACACCAATAAAAAATTAATATACTTTCTTTAAAATAAGTGATAAATATCTTTAAGTATATGCATTTAAAAATAATTTGAGGTGTTAGAAACCTAAAACTATCTGTGAATGCAAATTGTATATATAGATAGATGTACACACATATATAATGCAGATTATATACATACATATAATTACATATATGATGAAAACATAAAGAGATAATTTGTAATCTCCTCTGGCACATTATGGATAGGAGAAGTTTAGAGCACTTATGATAAGTTTACTTTCTTTAGTGATAAATGTTTTCCACAAACTGTATAAATTATTTAATTTTTTTTAGCTGGAGTGCCTTATTTTTATTTCAAACCCACTGTATACAGTATGTTTTTTAAATTACAGGTATAATAATAATACTTATTGAAATCATCGACTATTTTGCTTTATAACCTCATAGATTGGAATTATCTAGATGCTAAATCTTAGTACATTATAACCATAGACTCTGTTCAAAAATATTTCTATTTTGTTTCAATCCTTTTTAGCTGTTGGAATGCCTGGACTGGGGAAGAAGAGAGATATAGAAAAAGACTTGCATAGAAACAATTATATAAAAGATAGTAAATTTCTTAAACATATAATAATTATTATTATACATTATATTAGCAAGCATATTAAAACTTGAAAGAAAATCATTTATGCTGAATAAAAATCAATATTTAGTGGTAGAGATAAGATATGAGAAAACTTGATTATATTGATTGTAACATCAATAAAGTTAAATACCAATCCTTTCTGCTAAGTTTTATTATGTAATTTTATCTTTTGAATACTACCTTCCAGTAAATATGGATTTTTAAAAGAACAAATCATGAGTCATTGTCTATTGATAATTGCCAAACTGAACAGTTATTAATTTAACAATACAAAATAAATGTAATTTTATAATTTTAAATATGTTAACATGGATCCCACTGAGAAAGCAAATATTTTTTCTTTGTACATTGTCTTTTTGGAGAAGCATAGAAAAGAAGCGTTTAAGTGTTCTTTTGAGAATCTTGTCTAAATTTACACAGTAATTGAATTAATAGCAAACATTTTAAGGTGGGCAAAGGCATGAATCTATTTAGCACAGAAGAAAGAATAAATGATGAATACACATAAAAATAGGTAACAATATTACTAATAAACAAATGCAGCATTAATAGTATTTTCAGATCCCTTATGTTGTGTATTAAACTGGAAGATTATTTACAACATAATAATCATCAATTTTGTTGTAATTCAAGACAATGACATACTTCTACTCCCACAATGTTGGAGGGAGTCTACGGTGGTATAGACATCCTGGACGGTGAGTTGGCAATAAGTGTGTCTCAAATTCCTGGCAGGTATTAACTATAATATTTAATTTTAAAAACGTGACAGTGGAATAATAATACCAATTTAATGAAGCGGGACTAATCTAGGAAGGAAACCTGAAAATATGATTCCAAATTCTTCTGATTTTGTCTAATATGACGATATTAAATTGCTAGAAAGATTGTGTAAACTGCAGTTAAGGTTTTCCTAAACTGCTAAATGAGATTATTTGAGTATGAAACCTGAGGGAGATAGTGAAAAGCAGATTCTTTCCATGTTTTAACAGAAGAATCAATACAAAAAGGAGTTAAGAACTTGATGTAATATTTATAGAGAAACAAAAGTAATGGAGAGTGTGATGCTTTTAATAAAAATCTAATTGATATTACTATAGGATATGTTAAAATGGTTTGTTTTCCACTATCACAAAAGATAAGCTGTGTCTTTCAAATAGCTGGATTTTACATACCTCCCACCATACTGTGTAAACAAAGGCCCTTTGAAGTGCTCACTGTTATCCATGCAGGAGTAAGTCATTAGTATTTGTGAGAGAAAAAGATGAAAAAATTGCGAGGGAGAAAGCATTAGAAAGTACATTTTTTATTTATTAAAGTATTGAACCATAAAACTTAAATTTTATGAAATATTTTGAATTCCTAAGATACATAGTATTACAAAAACACCACTTCAGTAGCTTTACTTTTACTGGAAAGCTACAATCTTTTTTTTTGTAGCTTAAGAGTTTTGCACTTTCTTTCATTTTCTATAGGATCTGCCTATGTGAGGAAGATTTATCAGGATTCTGGCATTGCAAATAAATGAAAGGTTGATAAAAACACAACAACCTCCGAAAACTTTCTAAAAAACTATGTCAGTGTTGTGGACACGGTGCATTCATTTAACATGAGCACTGCTTGAAACAAAACAAATAGCAAAACCTTTCTCTCAAGAAAACTAAAAAGTCGGGTTATTTCTTTGTATACATAATCCACCACTTTATCCTTCAAGATAATTTGCATTATTCTTTTTTCTTATTTAGGTTTACATTGCTATATTAACAAATTATCACAAATTTAATTACTTTGTGTTAGTCCACTGTGCATTGCTATGAAGGAATACCTGAGGGTGGGTAATATATAAAGAAATTTACTTGGCTCGAGGTTCCGCAGGCTGTATAAGCATGGCACGAACATGTGGTCTGCTTCTGGTGAGGCCTCAAGAAGCTTTTGATGACGCAGAAAGCAGAGTGAGCCAGCATATCACGTGATAGGGAGCAAGAGAGAAAGAGGAGGTAGTTGCCACAGTCTTTTAAACATCCAGATCTTGCATGAATTCATTGCCATTCGTTTTTGTGGGGAAGGCCCCAAGTCGTTCATGAGCGATCCACCCCCATGATCCAACACCCCTCACTAGGCGCCACCTCCAACATTGGGCATCACATTTCAACATGGGATTTGGAAGGGACAAATATCCAACTCATATCAGACTTAAAGCACAAATTTATTTTCTCACAGTTTCCATGTGTCTTGAGTTTAGGCATGATTTAACTGGGTCCTCCATTCAAGGTATCACAAGGAGGCAATCAAGTTGATCTGTCTCTACGGCTTCTTTCCTTTCTGAAGTTGAGATCCACTTTCAAGCTCACATTGTTGTTGGCAGATTTCATTTCCTTGTAGCTTCAGGAAAGGTAGATGCCCCTGTTGTTTGGTTGGCTGTCAGAGGGTTTGCTCTTAGCACTTATTTCCTAGCTCTCCTCCCAGGTTCTTGCTGCAGGGTTCCATTTTATCTTCTGACTACAAGAAAGGCTCCCTGATTAGATCAGACCCAACCAGATGATCTTCCTTTTGATGAACTCATAACTAACTGATTAGTAGCCTCATCATGAGAGTAATATCCCACGATATTCACAGGTTTTGATGACGCTCAATGTTGAGAATAGGGATTACACAAGGTGAGAATACCAGGGAGTAGGAAACATTGGGTCCTCTTAGAATTCTATCTATCACAGATGTGTAAGTGCTTGTTTGTTGCTTGGGTTTAATATATACAATCATTAAACTTTCCACTTAAGCATTGTATGCCTGTATCAAAATATCTCAGAAATATATACACCTACTACGTACCCACAAAAACAATAAAAAACACACTAAAAAACTAAAAAAGTAAATGATGATATTCATTCTGCTTTACAGAACCATTAATTTTGCCAATAAAATGCAAAACGACTTTCTAAGACTGCTGCTTTGAACTTTTGGAAACCATCTTAGAATTTCACATATTCATTTAAGTTCTTACTTGAAGATATTTAAGTTTCTTTTCTAACATTTTTTATCATAAAATAAACATTTCCATAAGATCTATTGGCATGAGTAAAAAACTTTTTGATTACTGTTTTGTTAATAATGACTTGATTAAATTTTATGAAGTTATGCAAGAGAAATGTGAACAAACATAATGCAATATTAATTCATAACTTCATAAAATTTACTGTAATATATACTGTACTACTGCAATAATTTCATAGCCACCTCCTGTAGCTATTGTGGTGAGAACAAGTGTTGTGAGCTTAAAACGCCATGTGATGATAGTCATCTCCCCATGAGAGGTTTTCTTTCTAGTAAGTTGCGTATTGTAGTAAAAGGTGATCTGTTTTGGTTCTCGCATACCTTTCATCATGTTTAGTGCAAAACCATAAACCTGAATAACACCATGACACCCATATGAAGTGCCCCTAGTGATACTGGAAGTGATTCCAAGAAGCAGATAAAAGTTATGACATTACAAGAAAAAGTTGAATTGAGTGATATATATCATAGATGGCTGTCTGCAGCTGTGGTTGCCTGCCATTTCAGACAACTCATTTTGAAAACAGACAACACTATTGTAAGTTTATGTTGAAACTCTAGAAGTTTATGTACTGTATCGAAAATACGGCAAGATACTATAAATATATTTTCTCTTCCTTGTTATTTCTTAATAACATTTTCTTTTCTCTAACTTCCTTTATGAATATGGCATATATTTAACATGCAAAATATGTGTTAATCAACTATGTTATTGATAAGGCTTCCAGTTAACATCAGGCTATTAGTAGTTAAGTTTTTAGGCAATCAAAGGTTATAAATGAATTTTCTACTGAGCAGAGGGTTGTCACCCCTAACCCCCCATTGTTCAATGATCAAATACACACACACACACACACACATATATACAGACAAATATATATGTGATATGACATGTAACATATGTCATATATAGTCTGTATATGTGTGTGTGTGTGTGTGTATATATATATAATTGTTTTCTAAATTATTTAGGAGAAACTTGAAGATATTATGTCCCTTTATTTTTGAAATGCAATATATTGAAGGCTTATTTTTCTAAAAAAACATTCTTCCTCTAATTAGGCAAAAATTTCATTTTTGAACATTTATTCACTAGCTATAGTTTTGCTACTGTGGCCACAGATAGTAAATATAATGATTCCACATACAAACCTCTTAATTTTTGAAACCCTATTATGTTTTTAAATCTTTCCTTAGATTTTATTACTATTACTCAGATAACCTGAAGTGAGACTGCTGCTCCTTTTCCACATGAGTTGGATTATTGTTGTCCTTAAATTTGTTATCTTCCCTACACTTTCACCACCAGGTCCTGACCAACAGGTACTTTTTCTGCATAGTGGAATTTCCACATTTATTCTTCTGGTTACTGTGTTGTACTCATGTACAACATGTACTCATGCCTGTTTAGGGCAGACAAATAGTCAATTTTAAGAACTAATGATAAATTATTTTCCAAAGCGCTGGTATCAATATACACTTGTACTGTCAGTATGTTAATTACTCTTCTCTACAACCTCGGCAAACATTTAAATTTTGCAAAGTTGTTAAGTATAAAATGTTTTCCTGTTGTAGCTTTAATATACATTTCCTGATGTTGAACATCATTCCTTATATTTATTATTTGTGTTTCTTTTGAGTAAAACACCTACTCATATTCTTTGCTCAGTTTCCTATTAGATTCTTTTTATCCTACTAATTTGAAAAAACAATTATACTAGTTTGTATACAAATGCACTAAGAGTTTCTGTTACATCTTATGAAATATTTCCTTCCTATTGGCAGGGGGTAGAAGGGGTGTGAAGCTTGTCTTTTCATTTTTATAGTGTCTTAAGATAACAAAATTTTATAATTTTATTGTAATTTAGTTTATCATTTTTTCCTATTATAGGTTGCCTATCTTGCTCATAATAAAAACAAAACAGTTTTCTTTCCCCAGAATAATGAATATATTTTCTACATAGTTGTGAAGTAATTTAAGCATTTGTATTTCACATTTCAACTAAAAATCCATTTGGAATTGCAGGTACTGATAATTCTGTTTTGTTTTGCTTTAGTAGGGAAAAACATTTTTTATTTAGAAATTTATTCTAGCATGTCTTTTGATATTTTTCTTCACCACTGATTATAAATACCTCCTTGTTACATATGAAGTTTCCATATATATATATATGTATAAAGATCTGTCTTCCAAAGTTCAGAGACCACAGTCCCGATTGCACACAAAGGTTCAGGAATGGTACCTGTTCTTACCAGCCAGATTGGAAAAAGCCATAATTCATGAGATATTACATAGAGTATAGAAAAGAATAATGACTCAAAAGTGGAGAATAAATGTTCCTAGACTAAGCACCCATTTAGAGATCCTAAAAGCAAGATTGGAAAAATATTAAGTGTTTTCCAAGTAACTTGACTGCATTGCAGGAAAAAGCTCAAGAATATTTATAGAAACACAGAAATGTCCAATATCTAAAAGGGTAAAACCATAATAATTGGAATCAAATAAAATTTACAAAGCATGCAAAAATCGGAAAACTATGACACATAATGAGGAGAAAAATCAGTCAATCCAAACTGTTAATTCTAACATCTGTCATTTTTGATAAATTTTTCTCTTTATTTGTGTCATATTTTTCTGTAACCATTATATATAATATGTAATACAATAAACAAATCTAAAATTTTGTAATACAACAGATAACTGAATTATAATGGGCCAAAAGTTTGACTTGATGCTTTGCTAAGAATTATAGTACAGTCACTTCATCAAAGAAGATATGCAGATGTCAAATATGCAGATGAAAAGATGCTCAACACCATTAGTCACTAGTAAAAAGCAAGTTAAAACCACAATTAAATACCAGAATAAAAGTATTAATATAGCTACAATTAAAAAAACAAAGATTGGTCATAAAAGTGTTGGCAAAGTTGTGGAGGAACTAGAGCTTGTATAACTGCTAGTAGAAATGTAATATGTTACTACAACTATAGAAAATTTAGCAGTATCCTAAAAAGTTAATTATATCCTTACTGCATGATGTAGGTACTCTATTCCTACATATGTACTTAAGAGAATTGAAAACATATCTCTACAAAGACTTGTACATGAATGTTCACTGCAGCTTTATTTGTAATAACCACAAACTAGAAATAAATCAAATGCCTGTCACTGGGTAAATGGCTAAATAAGCTGTGAAATATTCCTATAATAGAATATTATTCAGCAATAAAAACTGAGCTATTGATACATGCTTTAGCATGAATGAATCACATATTAATTAATCTGATTAAAAATGTCCAACAAGAAAAGAGTGCATGTTGTATGTTGTAATGTGTACACAATGTTAGAAAATGCAAACTAATATATAGTGGCAGAGCAAAGCAATGTTTTCCTCAGAAGTAGGATGTGGGAAAGGGTATGAGGGAGGAACTCCAAAGGATCAAAAGAAAACTTACAGGGCAATTGAAACATTTATTATCTTGAATGTGGTGAGTTTTCCATAAGTTTATATATTTTTCAAAAGTTATCAAGTCATTCACTTTAAATATGTGTGGTTTATTCAACGTCAATTATACCTCAATGAAGCTATTTTTAAAAAATAACTAGATCCAGCTCCTGGGGAAATTAATATCTCACCTTAGTATCTGTGAAATAAAATATTTTTTAAAATATTTATCTATTTTTGTTGCTTTTTAATAGCAAGGTTTTTCAGGATTTGTAGTTTGTCATATTGTTAGAAATGGAAACATCTTCCTAGATTTTTTTTTCTCCACAATTTTGGCCATGAGCTATTGACGAAATATGGCTTTCAAGCCTAATTATAAGAGCACAGTTGTACCTGTCATTTTTTTTCTAGTTTTTCTTCCTCATGAATATGTGCCCTGGACTTTTGAAATCTTTATTATTTTTTAAATCACAACTCATTAACTAATCTTACCACTCTTGGGAACCACCTCTCAACTAAATATTCCCTCTGTGCTTGTGTCCTGTTCACCAGAAAAATGTTAAACAGGACAGAGACATGGAGAAAGGCTAAAGAATTCCACCAACTATTACCTTCCATTGGAACTGAATCATCAGAATGTTTGTTTAACTTAATTCCAAATTGCCTAACACACTATTGCCATATCCTTTATAGAAATTTGCTTATCTATATTAATATGATGATATACCAATGTATTAACTCTGAAAAATAGGAAGAGGATTCGATTATTGCTTTAACAGCCTCTGGGGTACCCTACTTAATAATAAATTCCAGAATTTGGGAAATCTTATTTGCTAAATCATTTTCCACAATTCATGAATATTTTCTTCTGCCATTACCCTATAATCTTTGCTTAAAGATTTTCGGTAGCATTGCTCTTATTATCGTGTTATTTGCCTGGAATGAAACTAGCCAAGACCAATATGTCTACTCCATGGAATTACCTTAGTGCCCCAGATTTCAATATCATGACTCCCTGAAAACTCTTTAGTTATACTTAATGGTCAACTTGCTATGCTTAGACTAAAATTCTCCTATGAATTGGGGGGATATTTAAAAATGCAACACAGGTGCAGAAAATATTACAAGTTTTTATCACGTGGGATAATTCATTTAGATATGAATTCACATATCTAATTCAAATTTCTTAAGTAAGATTTTTGATTTGAGATGGATTTTTCCAGTATTAATTATGTCTTTCTTCTTTAGATTGAATATTGACATTATTTATTTTAAAATCTTTGTTCACACTTACACTCACATTCCATGAATATAAGTTATGGAACTTGAGATACAGCATTTTTGTGTTTCCTGTCTAAGAAAATCTATTGAGTAAAAGGAACTATCTGGAAAATAACATACATCATCTTTTGTTATTTTGTAAAACCTATTTTAACACTCAGCCCCAAGCAGAGATGGTATCTACATTTAATAACAGCTACTTCAAAGATATGCAGCAACATATTTGCATATGCTACCACTAGAATAATTTATCTGCTTAATTTACGGATATTAAAATTAATTGTAAAATGCCACTAAGGGAATTTGTCTTTTGATGTTCTCTGTAGGGGCAAATTTACATTTTGAGATTAGACATTAAAAAAAGAAAAACAAAGCAGAAAAGAATGTATGTTATGTTTTTATCGTGTGATTAGTGAGTAAGGCACCCGTATATCTCAACATATTATTAATTGAGTGTTCTTAGGGATCTGTGTTTGGAATATACCAGAGGAAGATATTTTCAGTACTTTATGAAGAGCTCAATTTCCCTTCTTAATACATAATGCTATGGCTGCTGCATTTTGCTCTAAAGGACATTATGCCAGGCATGTGAATATTATGGAGGTATTTGCTGGTAATTTATCATTTAAAGGTTAAAAAACCTTTTAATTAGTAAGTATGTAATAAGAAACTTAATGAAAATGTCTAATGAATTTCATTTCACATAAAAGGATTTTTTTGTCCATGAGAGTCAAAGTCAGAAGTTGACCTCCTGGCCTAGAATCATCACATCCTTCTTCATAATTAAGTTTTCAAGTATTTTCACGGCCCTTAAGTAACACACTCTTCTGGGTTGTCAGTTCATTTAATTTTCTCCATCCAATGTTTCTAAAGAATTTTTCAATCTCAGTGGATATGGCTTGATAATCTCCCAACAATATACCACCATATCACTGGTCTCTTAAAGTGCTGCCAACTCACACATGGTGCTAAAGTAGCCTCACTGAAGTGTGCTGAGAGGACAGAGTCAGCCACTTTATTGCCCAGTAGTGGCCTTAATAAAAAGGAAAACAAAATAGAATATCTGAGTGTTGTTTATGAGATATAAAATCAGCTAGTTGAAAAGTGGAAAATACAGTCTGTTTTGGGCTAAATTTAAGTATGCACCTGCTTTTTTCTTAAGCTACAGAGGTAAGGAGTTTCTATGAGTTCATTGTGAAAGCATAAATATTCACAGGGTAGGAAGAAAATGAGAAGGATGGTAGAAAGCAAGAGAAAGGTACAGAGGGAGAAAAAAGAATAAAGGGGATAGGTGCACAAATAAAAAACGTCAGTGTGACATGGCTTTATAGTGGATACTCTGATAGATGTCTGGCCCTTGTGCTAGCAATTAAATTGAATAATTGACTCATGCAAATAAGAATAAATATAACCACATTTTTGTAGAGCTCTTGATATCATCCTCTAATATGACAACAGGTTATGTCACATTATTTCAAAATGAGGATAATAAAAAAATTAATGAGAATTGTCTTTGAAAATTTGGTACCTATATCAATGACCTTTTTTACTCATCTGGCTGATAGGTGTCAGGGATAGGATATTAGTTTCCTAATCTTATCATTTAGACTGCTACTTTATAGGGTTTCCATATACACTCAAAGCTATATGCTACTATGAAATAAAGTATTATTTTATTAACATCTAGGGAACAGCAATGGATAGGTCACATACCCCAGAAGGGCAGTTTTCTTCTCTGGCCTTCTGTAGTATAAGTTTTTCCATCAAGCAAATGGATTTCTGAGGATATAAGTAAGATCTCTTTCTCCTCCCTCTAAGCAAAAGAGGTTTTGGCCAGTAGAAACAAACACAAACCCATTTACTAATGGAACAGAAATAAAGGTCAAGCTCTAGAAAGGAGGACAGGAAATGGAAGGAAGCTGATTGTATATGGATTTAGAAAGATTAAAGGTAGCTACTGATTCTTTTCCTCTTGTAAGTGGAGGAGAAAATGTGAGATAAATGTTATAAATGTCTTAATATTCTGTACCTTATCATGAACTTTATGAAGGTGTTCAGAAGAGTCACATGGAGGAAAGAGTGTCTTGTTTACATGAGTCACATAATCAGAGGAAAGAATATTAGTCCAAGGATTATTATAAAGTCCTGACTCACAAGTTTGTCCACTTTTGAGTAACTAATAAACATTCAATAAAATTGTGCCTTCAGTAGTTCTCAGTGCTGAAATGCGTGTTCCCTATTCTTGTGAACATTACAATTTGCCTGGAAAGATGAAGTGTCCTCACATGATACCTTAGGTATCTCATCAAAGTTTGGTAGGTAACAGTAAAAAGCAATTCACAAGTAGGCAATTGTTGATAAGGAAGAAGCTGGAATATACTGCAAACCTTTCTCAACTCTTCCCTTATGTGCTTTGTGAGTTCAAGCAGAATAAATCTAAAAGAGCCTTTTGGAGATACCCATACCCTAATCTCCATGCTGTCCCTTCTTTTCAATTTTCCTTCCTACTCCACACTTCCACTATCACATTGTCAGTATTTTCTTAACTTTTCTCTTTACCCCAAAGTGCTGGTTCTCTCAGAGAGAGATAGCAACAAATCCTTATATTTTGATTGTAACTTTTCACTCTATCCTGGCAAATTTTCATCATGGATTTACTGGATTTATTATTCTAAGGGGAAGCTTTACATCTGTAATTAGCTTTGCATGAATTATGTACAAATAAAGCTTTTTATCTTGCTAACATTTAGTGTTTTTAATAACAAAACTTCAAAATCTTACTCAACTAGTGAATCTTGTTTTATTTACTTACACTAGGTTTAAAGAGAGATGGAAAGAAAAGGAGAAAGGAAAGAGAAAAATACGATTAATGAATACACTAAATAAAAACTTTTAAGAAGAAAGTTAAAATAATGAATATTATACTGAAGTAATGACTGTATATCTGATGCTGAAGGAATGACAAATGAGAAAAAGGTATGTGTAGAATGAAATAAATTGGATAGATCTTATGTGAATGTTTGTGTTGTGTATTTTAAGAAAAGTAAACAACCGTATTGCTGGAAAAAAATAAAAAAGTATATTTCAGGTGAAGAGAAAGAAGGATAAGAGTGAAGTCCAGGAATAAGGACTGAGGAGAAACAAGCTATACAGAAAAGATAATGAGAAATTCTGAATAACTGGAATTGAAAGGTTAAACAGAGAAAACTTGAGATGAACATTTACTAGACAAAATAATGTGAATTAAAATATTTTAATCCAATTTTGAAACATTTTAACCAACGAATCTTCTAGAACAGGGGAGGACAACCAGTTATTTGTCAAAACCTATTTTTTTCTTCTGCCATAATTAAGGGATTTTCAGCTGGGTGTGTTTAAGCCATTCTTGCACTGATTTGAGAAAATGCCTGAGACTGGGTAATTTATAAAGAAAAGTTTAATTGATTCACAGTTTTGTAGGCTGTACAAGAAACATGGCAATAGGCATCTTCTCAGCTTCTGATGTGGCATCAGTAAGCTTAGGGGAAATCATAGGGGAAGGTGAAGGGGAAGGGCACAGGTCACATGGCAAAAGCAGGCACGAGAGAGAAAGAGAACACGTGTGACGGGAGAGGTGTCATACAATTTTAAATGATCAAATCTCACGTGAACTCAGAGGAAGTGCTCACTTGTCACCAAGGAGATGGCCCAAGCTATTCATGATGGATCTGTCCCCATTATCCAAACACCTCCTACTAGGCCCCACCTCTAACACTGGGGACTACATCTCTGCGTGTAATTTGGGCAGGGACAAATATCCAAACTATATTTTTCTGCCCCAACCCTTCCCAAATTTCATATCCTTCTCACATTTCAAAATACAATCATGCCTTCCCAATAGTCCCCTAAGGTCTTAACTCATTCTAGCATGAACTCAAAACTCCAAAGTCTCATCTGAGACACGACAAATCTCTTCCATTTATCAGCCTGTAAAATGAAAAAACAAGTTAACTACTTCCAAAATATGATGGGAGTATAGGCATTGGATAAACACTTTCCTTCCAAAAGGGAGAAATCTCCCCAAACAAAGAGGCTACAGGCCCCACGCAAGTTCGAAACCTAGCAGAGCAGCCATTAAATCCTAAAGCTCCAAAATAATCTAGTTTGACTCCACATCTAATATCCAGAACACGCTCGTGCAAGGGGAGGGCTCCAAGGTCTTGGGCAGTTCAACTCCTATGGCTTTGCAGGATTCAGTTCCTCAGGCTGCTCTCACAGGTTATTGAGTACCTGCAGCTTTTCCAGGCACAGCATGCAATCTGCCAGTGGAACTGCCATTCTGGGGTCTGGTGCCTCATTCTCCGAGCTCCACTTGGCAGTGTCCAATGGGTACTCTGTGTGAGGGCTCCAACCCTACATTTCTCCTTGGCACTGCCCTAGTAGAAGTTCTCTGTGGGGGCTCTGCCCCTGTAGCTGACTTCTGCCTGGGCACTCAGGGTTTTCCACACATCCTCTGAAATCTAGGCAGAGGAGGCCAAGATTCCATCACTCGTGTACTCTGTATATCCACAGGTTTAACACCACGTGGAAGCTGGCAAGACTTATGGCAGCTTGAGCTCTCTGGAGCAGCGGCATGAGCAGTATCTAGGGCCTTTTGTGCTGAGACTGGAGCCAGAGTGTCCTGGATGTAGGGAATAGTGTTTCTGTGGCCTAGCTCAAGAAAATACTCTTCCCTGTTAGGCTTCTGGGCCGTGACGAGAGGGAATGCTGCAAAAGTCTCTGAAATGCCATTGAGGCCTTTCTCACATTCTCCTGGCTTAAGCACACACTTGGTTCTCTGTAAGTTATGCAATTTCTCTAGCAAGTGGTTGCTCCAAGTCTGCCTGAATTCCTCTTCTGAAAAAGCTTTTCCTTTCTCTGCCACGTGGCCAGGCTGCAAACTTTCCGAACTTATATTCTCTGTTTTCCTTTTAAATATAAGTTCCAAATTTAAGTCATTCTTTTGCTATTACATCTAAGCATAGGCAGTTAGAAGCAGCCAAACCACAGTTTGCTGCTTAGAAATTTCTTCCACCAGATACCTTAAATCACCACTATGAAGTTCAAACTTCCACAGATCCAATGGGCATGAAGAGAATGCAGCCAAGTTCTTTGCTAAGGCATAACACAAATGACCTTTGCTCCAGTTCCCAATAAGTTCCTCATTTCCATCTGAGACCTCCTTAGCCTGGATTTCACTGTCCATATCACTATCAGCATTTTGGTCATAACCAATTAACCAGTCTTAAAGAAATTTTGAACATTCCCTCATCTTCCTGTCTTCTTTGAGCCCTCCAAGCTCTTCCAACCTCTGCCTGTTACCTAGTTTCAAAGCTGCTTCCACATTTTCAGATATCTTTATATTAGGTTAGTGCAAGAGTAATTGTGTTTTTTGCCATTACTTTTCTGCCAACCTAATAGCAATGCCCCACTCCTTGGTATCAATTTTCTGTATTAGGCCATTCTTGAATTGCTATAAAGAAAGAACTGAAACTGGGTAACTTACTACACAAAAGAGGTTTAATTGCCTCGTGGTTCTGAGGCTTTATACAAAGCTTCGTCCTGTCATCTGCTTGGCTTCTGGGAAGGCCTCAGGATGTTTACAATCATGGCAGAAGGTAAAGTGGGAGCAGCCACTTTACATGGCCAAAGCAGGAACAAAGAAAGTGAAGGGGGGAGGTGTCACACACTTTTAAATGACCACCTCTCACAAGAATTCACTATCATGAAGACAGCCTGAAGCCAGGAGGGATCTGCTTCACATGATCCAAGCACCTCCCACCAGGCCCACTCCCAGCATTAGGGACTACAGTTAAACATGAGATTTGGATAGGGATAAATATCCAAACTATAAAATATTGCATTTATGTGTCTTTGTATCCTACTGGTTTTGCTTCTTTGAATCTGTACTATTACATCTGCTTAATGGGAATATACTGTCCCTTCACTTCTTCATGTACACCTACAAACCTACTTGGGATAAAAACACAAAAGTGAAGCAAGGCCAACTGAGACCATGCAGAAAAGGACAACACACTAGAGGATAACAGAACAAGTTGGAATTTAACTGTGTTTCTAAGAAAAATCCTATGGAACCAAGTTGTCTATCCATCTTGGACTGCCTACCAATTTCTAGACTTTTATAAAAGAAACAAACTTCTATTTTATTTGAGACACAATATTTGGAGGTCAAATTACTTACCATAGAAGCTTATTTTATATGCAGTAATTACAGCACTATGTTTTTAATGGATAAAAAAGGCATTTTAGAAAGGTTTGGGCACTCATATGTTTGGTCAACTGGATCAGAAAGACTGGAAATGAGGTAACATTACCTGGGATGATGTTGCTGCCATGCCAGTTGGATATTGTTGTTTATAAAGTCCCTTACGACAATCAGGAATTGCATCTTTATATAGGATGCTGAAATATTTTCAATATGAAAAGCAAAGGAATATCAGAGAAATATACTTAGAGGTGGTTATATAATTTTACCACATATATAGTTCTGGAAAATGGTGTGGACACTGGCCAGTAGAATATGTTCAAACTTTTATGTGACCATTGAAATGAGTTAATTACTCTTAGGACTTCAGTTTTGTCAGACGAGGGATTAGCTAAAGTTTCTTCTACTTCTGAAATTCTGTGACACTACGTTTGTTCTTATAATGAGGTATACAAATTATGGAGGGAAAAGGTGTTCAAAATTGTTTATCTATACTCGTGATTATTGCTAAAGAAAAAAACATTTCACATAAAATGCTAACTTCCACATGGATGCTGAAAAAAAACCCTGCCTACTCTGAAGGGTGATATATTAAAAAATTTAATAAATAGTATCTAGTATTGTCAGAATGAGTAGCAGGAGTTTATTTGAATGCGGAACTGGGAACTAAACTCTGAATTAGAACATATCACAAATTACTAACTATTCTTCTTGGCTGTTTCTTCAAGATTTGAAGCCACTTTTTAAAGAGTTCAATTGTTGAAACTAAATAATTTTGTTCCTTATAATTACAATGCATAAGGTATACCTTTAAAATTAATTATCTCTGAAGATCCAAGGAAAGGAAGACCACACTGTAGCCATATTAAGTTACACAGTGTTTCCTAATTATCCCCAAACTCTTCCTTTATTCTAGACTTTTGTTTATGCCAATTTATTTTTCCCAGAAGGTAAATCCTCCAGAGCCTTTCATGTCTTCAAGACATATCATTATGCTGTCATTGTGGCTTCTCCTTAGCAAGACTGGATTAATGAATGACTCATGTACTAGACTAGTCTTCTGTATTATTCTCTTTTACATGAAGTATATACTCTACTAGGTTTCAATTGCTATTGCCATCTGTGATTGGAACACTTAGGCCTGCTTTTGTGAAACCTCAAATAGACACAGTGGCATGCTAAAAAAATGGAATGCAAAATGTGTAACTATGACATAGCAAGAATATCCTTAGGTAGAAATTTGAATGTTAATGTAGTACTTTCTGGGTAAAATGGTGTTTAAGACAGTAAGTCCTCAGTTTTGAGCTGCTCTGCATGGTGTATTTTTCACTCCTTATTTCATACAATTCGAACTTTGAGCTTACCCCATAAAAAACAAGGAAGCCATTCTCTTAACATATCCTTTAAGACCTCTTGTGTATTATTTGCTAGTTTAGTAATAAAACAAAGTAGACAATAGACAAAAACACTTTTTTTAATTAACAAAACCTAACTTATTACTTTTATCAGAGACAGACTGTGTGGTTTTTCCTGGCTCATGCTGCTAAATAAAGTCTCTGGCAGGAAAGAGAGAGAGGATTTTGCCTTATTCATTGTCATAGCACGAGTCTTTTTTCAGTACCTGTCATGGAGTATGCAAAATAAAATATTTATTAAATAAAATGCGAGCTAACATGGCCAGACTCCTTTTCTTTTTCTTATTAGCTTACTGACAATTTCAATATGATGCCCAAAGGCATATCAGATCCAGAATTTCTAAAATTTGACTTATTAATTCCCAAAACTATGTCTTTTATATGATTTGTTATCCCATTAAATGACAACATAAGACCCAATATTTCTCCACTAGAAAAACAGGAATCTTCTGTTGTCCCTATTCAGCAGCTTTCTTCATTTAGTCATCAATGTCATCAACTAAAGTTCATCTGAAGAGGATCTCTCTATCCATCTAAATTTCATCTTACTCACTGTGGAATTCACACTGTTTATATTAGCGGCCTCTTGTCAGGAAAGTTAGTATGTATCAGAATTGCTACCTTCCTAGGTAGTGTTAAATGTTTTAAATCATAATTCATTACTCTTGCTTTTCAAAAAAAAAAAAACAATTGCCACTCCAAATTCCAAATCCTTGCAAATGGACTCTTATAATTAATCTTAAAGTTAAATCTGAACAGCAGCACCTGCTACTGCCTCTTATCTCTCTCTATATATATCAAAATTAGAAGACATAGAACAGAAACCCAAACTAGATATGAGATTTGAACTATTAATAGCATTTAGGAAACATATCTATTAATAACAAAAATGATGGATCTGGATTGCAGAAATCAATAAACAACCACACAAAATACCAATTAGATAAACACACAACAATGGGGAAAATGTAGTAATTCTGTTTTCTGAAAGATAACAAGTGAATCCACTTCTTTTTTTTTCTTTTTTTTTTATTATACTTTAAGTTTTAGGGTATATGTGCACAACGTGCAGGTTAGTTACATATGTATACATGTGCCATGTTGGTGTGCTGCACCCATTAACTCGTCATTTAACATTAGGTATATCTCCTAATGCTATCCCTCCCCCCAACCCACAACAGGCCCTGGTGTGTGATGTTCCCCTTCCTGTGTCCACGTGTTCTCATTGTTCAATTCCCACCTATGAGTGAGAACATGCGGTGTTTGGTTTTTTGTCCTTGCGATAGTTTGCTGAGAATGATGGTTTCCAGCTTCATCCATGTCCCTACAAAGGACATGAACTCATTATTTTTTATGGCTGCATAATATCCATGGTGCATATGTGCCACATTTTCTTAACCCAGTCTATCATTGCTGGACATTTGAGTTGGTTCCAACTCTTTGCTATTGTGAATAGTGCCACAATAAACATATGTGTGTATGTGTCTTTATAGCAGCATGATTTATAATCCTTTGGGTATATACCCAGTAATGGGATGGCTGGGTCAAATGGTATTTCTAGTTCTAGATCCCTGAGGAATCACCACACTGACTTCCACAATGGTTGAACTAGTTTACCGTGCCACCAACAGTGTAAAAGTGTTCCTATTTCTTCACATCCTCTCCAGCACCTGTTGTTTCCTGACTTTTTAATGATCACCATTCTAACTGGTGTGAGATGGTATCTCATTGTGGTTTTGATTTGTATTTCTCTGATGGCCAGTGATGATGAGCATTTTTTCATGTGTCTTTTGGCTGCATAAATGTCTTCTTTTGAGAAATGTCTGTTCATATCCTTTGCCCACTTGTTGATGGGGTTGTTTGTTTTTTTCTTGTAAATTTGTTTGAGTTCATTGTAGATTCTGGATATTAGCCCTTTGTCAGATAAGTAGATTGCAAAAATTTTCTCCCATTCTGTAGGTTGCCTGTTCACTCTGATGGTAGTTTCTTTTGCTATGCAGAAGCTCTTTAGTTTAATTAGATCCCATTTGTCAATTTTGGCTTTTGTTGCCATTGCTTTTGGTGTTTTAGACATGAAGTCCTTGCCCATGCCTATGTCCTGAATGGTATTGCCTAGGTTTTCTTCTAGGGTTTTTATGGTTTTAGGTCTAACGTTTAAGTCTTTAATCCATCTTGAATTGATTTTTGTGTAAGGTGTAAGGAAGGGATCCAGTTTCAGCTTTCTACATATGGCTAGCCAGTTTTTCCAGCACCATTTATTAAATAGGGAATCCTTTCCCCATTTCTTGTATTTGTCAGGTTTGTCAAGGATCAGATGGTTGTAGATATGTGGCATCATTTCTGAGGGCCCTGTTCTGTTCCATCCGTGTATATCGCTGTTTTGGTTACTGTAGCCTTGTAGTATAGTTTGAAGTCAGGTAGCATGATGCCTCCAGCTTTGTTCTTTTGGCTTAGGATTGACTTGGCAATGTGGGCTCTTTTTTGGTTCCATATGAACTTTAAAGTAGTTTTTTCCAATTCTGTGAAGAAAGTCACTGATAGCCTGATGGGGATGGCATTGAATCTATAAATTACCTTGGGCAGTATTGCCATTTTCACTATATTGATTCTTCCTACCCATGAGCGTGGAATGTTCTTTTATTTGTTTGTATCCTCCACTTCTTTATCATGTCTGATTCTTGGCTCAAAAAATAGATAAAAAGGAGAAATTAATGGAAGTATTCTAGAACATTTCTATATCATGTATATTGTGTTTTGAGTGACTGAGAGTGCTTTTTCTCATACCACCATCACTATCCCTGTTGGTATGTATATATAACCACCTGAAAATGACAAATCACAAAATCATCTGGACAAGACATAGAGCAATGGGAAAAAAAAGGTTGGATGAGATGGTGTGGCAGGAAGTCACTTCTCCAAAAGTCTATTATTCACAATTATTAAGCTACAGGTCAGGGGAGAGGGAAGAGGAGTCCAAATAAAGAGGTATTATACACTTTAGATGATCTTTTTTCTTATTCTTTTTCTGATTAGGTTTCCAGAGAGTCAAGAAACAGTGGTGGTGAGGTAGGGACGGAGAGAAATAAAAATAGTTGCCGACATTTTTATAGCACTTTCTAGGTGACAAACAGTATTTTTATTTTATTTTTTAGTGAGAAATGAGTTGAATATTTAATTGCCTGTGTTTTAAATGGAATCACAAATTTTCTTTTTATTACTTTTTTCTTTTTTTTTGAGGTGGAGTTTTGCTCTTGTTGTCCAGGTTGGAGTGCAATGGTGCGATCTCGGCTCACTGCAAACTCTGCCTCCAGTTTCAAGCGGTTCTCCTGCCTCAGCCTCCCCAGTAGCTGGGATTACAGGCACCTGCCACCACACCTGGCTAGACAAATATTATATAAGGACTTTATACACATTAATTTAGTTAACTCTC
Source organism: Homo sapiens (assembly GCF_000001405.40). Lineage (NCBI taxonomy): Eukaryota > Metazoa > Chordata > Mammalia > Primates > Hominidae > Homo > Homo sapiens. The sequence goes on from NC_000006.12 coordinate 102,144,359, forward strand.
ACAACAACCAATAAAGAAGGTATTCTTTTTATTTTCATTTTTGAATGAGGATATTGAGTCACAAAGGTTTCAGGTAACTTATTCAAGGTCAAATAGAAAGTAGCAGAGTTGGAACTCAAGCTATGGTTTCAAAATCCATGCTCTTAACTATGCTACACTAGTAAGATAATCTTGGTTCAAGAATGCTTACTAGACATTAGGGATCAAGCTAGGAATTATGCTTTCAACCTGCTTGTAAGCTTATCTGTGAAGGAGACTTGAGCAGGCCTCAATAGTTAAGGTTCCAGACCAAGTGGAGTACATATATTTCTCTGAATGAGCAGAACAACCAGTAAACTTTAATGAACACTCTATAACTAAAATATAATCTTGATTAGGGTATAATCACAGAGGTCTCTGAAAGTTATTTAATAAAACTTACCTTAGCAAGATTATTTAGAAATATATTTACATCATTGATAATATTCAAGCAACCCGCCATGATAGAGAAATGAATAACATAAAGAGGATATAAACTGAGATAAAAAATAACACATTGTGTGTGAGATGAATGAATGAAAATCAACTAAATATATCACAACATAATATAAATATCACAGTAATATAAAGATGAATAAATAGTGTAGAAATTGGAATGTGTACTTTCAGGGTAACATTCGTAGAGATTGCTTAAAAATGAACAAAAATGATTAGTGAGAGGCTAGTATATATGGAAGAAGCAGATATCTGAGCTGAAAATTGTATGTGTTTCTGTGAAGGCAGAAAATTTGAAATGGAAGTCATAATCAAAAACATGATTGAAGAAAACATCAGTGAAATAAATATTCTCAAAGGATGGCTCACTGCAGCTCAACAAAAGCATTTCTGCAGCTCAGACGAAAGCTATTAAACTATAGCTTTCTAAGTTGTCCTAGTGCAGAAAATCTTCTAAATGAATAAAAGCATGGAAATTATGAGGGTACCACCCAGTGAAAACTGGAATTAACATATTGTATATATGTTAGATATACACACAATTATATCATTCCCTTGTTTTATAGCCTGAATTTTTATCTGAAATATTTTTAATTTATTAAATATACGTTTACCAAAATAATTTCTAAATTCTTCCAGGCACTACTTATTTAATGAATTCTGCAATTTTCTTTGCTCTTGGTAATGATATACTAAACTTTTTTATGGTAACATTATGGCACATATCCATTATTTTATTCTTAGAATAAATTGAGGTTGATGGTTTACTTAGTGTATACATTCTTAGGGATTTTGCCACTAAGCCTCAAAATATTTAAAATGAATAAATGGATTGGCAAAAGGAGTGTCTTAGGATCTAGTTTTTAAGTGAAAAATATAGATAGATAGATAGATAGATAGATAGATAGATAGATAGATAGATAGATACATACATACATACATACATACATACATACATACATAGATGCATAAATAAAGCAAATATAACACTGTCTTTTAAATTTATTTTATTTTATTTTAATTTCAGGGGGTTATATGTGCAGGTTTGTTACATGGGTAAAAACTGCATGCCACTGAGGTTTGGTGTACAAATGATATCATCATCCAGGTAGGGAGCATACTAACTGATAGGTAGTTTTTCAACTCACATCCCTCTCCCAGCCTCCCACCTCAAGTCGTCCCTTGTGTCTAATTTTCCCCATCTTTGTATCCATGTATATTCAATGTTTAACTCTTGCTTATAAGTGAGAACATGTGGTATTTGAATTTCTGTTTCTGCGTTGATTCACTTAGGATAATGGACTCCAATTACATCCTTGTTGCTGCAAAAGACATGATTTCATTCCTTTTTATGGCTGCATAGTATTCCATGGCATATATATTGCATTTTCCTTGTCCAGTTCACTATTAATGGACATCTAGGCTGATCCCATGTCTTTGCTGTTGTGAATAGTGCTGCAATATTCATGAGTATGCATAATGAGTGCATGTGTCCTTTTGGTAGAACAATTTACTTTCCTTTGGGTATATTCCCAGCAGTAGTATTGCTGGGTCAAATGGAAGTTCTGTTTTAAGTTCTTTGAGAAATTTCAAAGAATTGACAACAGAAATATCAACTTAAAACTGAGCTGCTTTCCACAGTGGCTGAACTAATTTACACTCCCACCAGCAGTGTATATTGCTCCCTTCTTTCTGTAACTTCACCAGCATCTGTTATTTTTTGACTTGTTAATAATAGTAATTTTGACTGGTGTGAGATGGTATCTCACTGTGGTTTACATTTGTATTTCTCTAATGACTAGAGACATTGAGCATTTTTTCATGTATTTGTTGGCCACATGTATGTCTTCTTTTGAGAACTGTCTGTTCATGTCCTTTGCCCATTTTTTTAATGGGATTCCTTTTTGCTTGTGGAATGGCTTAAGTTCCTTATAGATCATGGATATTAGACACATAGACCAATGGGACAGGATAGATAATCCAGAAATAAAGCCGCTCACCTACAGCCATCTGATCTTCAACAAAGTTGACAATGACAAGAAGTGAAGAAAAGATTCCCTATTCAATAAGTGATGCTGTAATAACTGGTTAGCCATATCCAGAAGATTGAAACTGAACCCCTTCCTTTCATCATATACAATAATCAACCCAAGATGTATTAAAGACTTAAATGTAAGATTTAAACTATAAAAGTCCTAGAGCAAAATTTAGGAAATACCATTCTGGATATCAACCTTGGCAAATAATTTGTGACTATTTCCAAAAGTATTTGCAACAAAAACAAAAAATGATGAGTGTCACCTAATTAAAGAGCTTATGCACAACAAAAGAATTATCGATAAAGTAAACAGACAACCTATAAAATTAGAGCACTATCTTTTTTGTTGTAACTGATTTTGGTTTCTAATGTCAAGTAGTTTTGCAATATAGATTGAGGGTAAATGTTTATCTTTCTCCTAAATCTATAAATTCCTTAATAATTGGCATAATCAATTTTTATATATTTTTCCATATTACTGGATCTCACACAACTTTTTTTCTGTACTCCAATTGTCAGACTACAAATGCTCCACCTATCTTTCCCATAAATCACTTAATCAAGTGAAAATATGTATTACTATGAATTATGCATCGAGGAACTTTTTCTAATACATTTGTATAAATCCTGAAAATATTAATAAATCTGATATATAGCCGCTGTCTTGGTGCTATTGGTGTACATATTACTTGTATAGAGGAACCTAGAAGTATATATTCATTTATATGCTTGGTTTCTAGAATGAGAGATTTAGCAAGCAGGGTATTAAATAATCTTAATAGCTTGCAATTTGAATACATCAAAAGATACATTTTTTCATGTAACCTCAGAAAATATCAGGGCACATAGCCTGTATCACTCTAGAAGATAGATACCTAACCGAGAATATAACAAAAACTTGGAGAGAAATATGCTGGCTCATGGAAAAAAAAAAATCACTCTCATTGTCACTGCCACCATTGAACCCATGTGCTTTTCCATCTTTGGCTTCATCCAACATTATCTCAGACTCCTACAAAGTGAATTTACCTGAAACTCTGTTCTGATTGTGTCATTTTTTACACTCTAAAATTTCAATAGCTTCTCAATAAATAGCAAACACCTTCGGCTGGCATGCTAGATTCTTAGTAATCTGGCTGCAGCCCACATTTCCTGCTTTATTCTCTCACAGTCATCTTATTGTAATGGACATACTTTTATTGTCCATAATCTAAGGGGTATTTTTGTCAATTTTTGTCCACTTTATTGTTACATCATGAATTTTTTAAACACACGTTGGACTCTATTAATTTTCCTTTTCCTTTAAGATTGGTAAGATATTACATTGTGGAAGTATTAGTTTAGAAACAATCTACCTTGAATTCCAGATCCACCACCAACTTTTTGTGTGGCTTTAATATAGTATTTGACACTCTGCTCTTTGGCATCTTTATGAATAATATGTAGAAGATGACAGTCTCTACCTCACTGAGCCCCTATTACCCTTACGTGGACATTGTTTGGCACAGAGGAAAAAATTCAGGAAATGTTAGCTCTTGATACTTCACTAAATGCTTTTACAAAGCTTAGTCTTAATTTGCATTATGCTTATTTGCATGCAAACATTATTTTTGTCTCTTCTAGACTATGAGCAACTGATGTCTCCAAGTATGACTTATTTCTCCTTTTATTGTCTTAGTGTTTAACAAATCATCTGGCTCATAGTAAGACAAAAATATATGCTAATTGAATAAAGTAATCCCAGGTTCTATTAAGGTGGTCTAGCTAAGGAAATTTTGCCTCACAGAGCTTGTTGCTACTTAAAGCATTCAGAGAGGTTGGTTAACTCACGCAGTAGGATAATGCAGAATATTAACAAAGTTAGAGGGAGACAGGAACAGATGAGCTCTCAGACTTAATCTAATGCTAAGACTCTTAGATAAGTAAATATCTAACTACAGTTATACAAAATAGAGAAAAAAACAATTATTTGTTGGTGTTAGAGCACCATATTTATTATAAAATTACATGATATTTGAGGTCAGATAAATGAATAAGGGGGAAATAGAAATTATGATGTTTACATTATTTTAGCCAGGAATTATATTAAAATATATAGTTTCCAAACATAATACTTGCTTAATTATGCCTACTAAAAAGTCTTTGTCTGGTGGCAGTTAGAATACACAGGAAATACTGAAATTTAGATGTCCAGTGAATTAGCTGTGTAATTTTGAAACTATCCCTTAACCACTCAGGATCTGTTTTCTCATCTGTAAACACTTTACCTTGGACCATGTAACCTTAGAATCGAAAGTTTATAAAAGAAATGAGGAAACTCCAAGCTCTTTAATATACAAAATGTGAAATAGACAAAAATTATATTTCTTAAGAATTGTAGAAATTTAGAAGCACATAAATATTCAGCAAAATATGTGGCCAAATTCCTGACAAGCAAACTCTGGTGTATTTGTTCATCAGCCTAAATTAAACTGCAATTGTACCCAAAACAGCCTTATATGTCTATGAGCTTCTGCCAATATGCAGTTGGATCTCTCTTCTGCAGCTGTCTATAATCCACCAAAGAGACAAGTGAATACTGTTGTCAAATTAGAAGTGAAGAAAATGGCATCATTAAAGCAGAATGAATAAATTATGATAGCTCTGGAAGAGCATCTTTAACAAATAAACAGACATAGCAAAAGTATCAACTACTTTTTTTGCACATGTACAACTTCAAAAATTTTTAAAAGATGACATTTTAATTTAATAGTCTGTAATTTTATTTTAGTTATACACATTACCTTTCTCATTGTTACGAAGTTTTATTAAGAAGCCCTGGGAAAATTAAGACTAATAAAAAGATTCCTAAATGTGAGGTCAGAAACTCTGACATTTTAATTTTGGTTCTTTCACTGAGGATCCACTATTAATAGTATTGGATCTTGGCTTCTTTAAGTGTAAATTAAGACTAGATTGTATAAAAATTTTGGATTTTTGTAAGTACTCTATTTGATGTTGGATATATAAACCAAAATATATTTATTTTTACATTGCATGCATTACAAAAAAGGTGTATATAATTATTTTTCTATATTGTAGATTTGTTGAGGTCAATTTGAGGTTATTGATGGAACCAACTTGGTAAACACAGACAAGTTATATGTTTCAGGGAAATGGGATTAGAAACTAAAGCAGATGAAAGATTTAAATATTCACTGCAAATATCAGATAGGATCAATGCAGATATTACTTATATCAGTGCTAGAGTCACCCGAACAAATAAAGCATTCTTGTGTTTTTAACAAGTGTATTTGAACTGCATACTCTCTTCAGATATTTAAAAGGGGACTTGGCAGCACTAGCAATTGTTAATAGCGAAAATATGGGAACTGGCAGCAACAATTCAGCAGGTAGGCAATATTACAAAGGATCACTTAAATAGGCACTCAGAATTTAAACGAAAAGCTACATGAACTATGTATTTCAAAATAAAAGCTGCTAGATTGTCTGCCACATCTTAGACTACCTTTAAAGGTTATGTTTAGAGAAATGATGAAGGAATGGGATGGCAGGTGGTCAGAGCAGGCAGCAGAAGTAGTTTGTTTGTTACTTGAAATGATGCATAGACAGGCAGCAAAGTGGGAATCTGAGCCTGCGGTGCAGGTGCTAATTATTCTTTCAGTGGCACCAACAGAGGTCAGGATTGAAGCCTGATTTATAGCCTATCTTGGCTAGTACTGACCAGGCATAAGTAATGCTGGATGCCAAGTGCAATGGGGGCACTAGAGGGGCTCAACAATAAATAGCAACGATAAATTTTTTAGATGAAAATTTTTGCACCTCTGTCCTATTGCTCTTTTTGCGAAGTAAGGATTATTCTGAGTTATAGAATGTGGATTTGTGCTGACATTGACTTTAAAGCCTGTACTAGATTTCAGTATAGCTTGACTAAATGTATTTGTCCTTTCCCCACTTACACCCCACCCAAGTGTCTCACTGTCAGCCTAGATCACATAGTGACAAGCATCTCTTATGATAAAATTCTTCTAATAAATTAAGTACCTAAGTACCTATAATTTGCATCTTTCTAAGAAAATAAAAATTAAAAACAAAACAAAGAATATGTTTTAGAATGTTCTTCCCTACATGCCTCACTTGTCAAATTTGTACTTGTAATTTGAGACTTGAGTTCAACACTGCATGGTGTATGCAGTGAGAATGAGCCTTCTCTTTAAGCTTCCACCTCAAAGGTTAAGCACATTTATATTATACTTCAATTTGTGTTTATTTGTTACTTCTTGTACTAGGCCTGGAAATCCTTCATAGCAAGGAATGTATCTCAATTGTAAGTGTTGAATGAATGTAAAAATAATCTATAGATGATTGGGTTGCTTGACAGACAACGAGCTTAATCCTACTATCTTGACAACCAAAAGTAACAAGTCCGGGCTTATGGGTTGAAAATGGTGGGACTGCCAAAAAAAAAAAAAAAAAAAAAGTAATAATGAGTAACTTTTAAAGTCAAGGAAAGCATAACAGGGGTTTTCAACCATTGGTATGCATCAGAATCTTGTGAGAACTTTTTTTAAAGTGCTTATATTGGAGTCTTACTCCAGATGATCCTGATGCATAATAAAGTTTGAGAACAATTGTGAGATTCTGACCCAATTGATCTGGAGTGCAACTTAGGCATTCATATTTTCTCTAGAGCTCTTCAGATGATTCTGATACATAGCCAGAGTTGTGAACCATGGGAATAATAAAAGAGAGAAATAAAAAGTATATACATAGAGAAATATATATATTCACAAGGGGCAAGAAGAACAGAATAAATAAAAACAGAATGAAGAGAAAAGAGTGTATAAGATTGTAAAAAATGTTGATTCAGCTAACTTTTTGTTTGTGTTGACTGTGCTGACAAGATGAGCACATTACAGAGGGAAGTAGAGTGTAGAGCCTTCCACTAGGAGTGATTAGGTTATTCTATAAAATATAGTGACAGTCTGAATGCCATATTATTCTACTTTGTGAAACAGCTTAACCTTAGGTCTATGTTCTCCCAGATCATCATTTATACTTACATAACTATACATCAAACACAATCTTATTTAAACCTTAAACAGTCCTTTGAGGAGTAAGCATTCTTACACTCATTTTTTTTATAGATATGTAAACTGAAACCCAGAGCATTTAATTAACTTGCCTTGAGTCACACAACAAGGGAGTGATGCAGCTGGGATTAGAACTCAAGTCTCTTTCACTGTACCACCCTGTTTCTCACAGGCAAAACCCTTAGGATATTAACATCATAGAGTATGAATCATAAAAAAATTCTAAAGGCTGTAATTAAAGTCCAGTGTAGAGATGTTACTCTAAATGGTTTATATTCTTTGCCTATTTCTTTACTTGTATTGAGACATACACAAGAGGAAACCAAAAGGAAGTAATATACTCTAATGCCTATTACTAGCTGAGCATTTAATATCCATTAATCCATACATCTTTTAAAAATCCCAAATAATGTGCCAGGCACAGCAGCTCCCATCTGTAATTTGAGCAATTTGGGGGGCTAAGGCAGCAGGACCTTTTTAGCACAGGAGTTCGAGACCAGCCTAGGCAACGTAAGGAAACTCCATTGCTACAAAAAAATTTAAAAAAAAAAAGTAGCTTGGTGTGGTGACACGTGCTGTGGTCTCAGCTACTCAAGAGGCTGAGGTTGGAGAATCTGCTGAGCCCAGGAGGTTGAAGCTGCAATGAGCCATCATTTTGCCACTGCACTCCAGCCTGGGTAACAGAGACCTGTCTCGAAATAAATAAATAAAATAAAATAAATCCTGAATGGTGAGTATTATTATAACTATTTATAAACAAGGGAATTCTCATTTGAAATTGATATGAATGGTAACCAATTCTCTCTGAAATAGATATGAATGGTGACCAAGTTCACACAGCCAGGCAGCACTGGATAAAAATCCAAAACCAGATCTGTATAATCACAAAATAATTTGACTACATTCATTCTCAGCATAATGGCACCTCCTTTCCTCAAACATCTGGAAGGAAAAACAATGAAAAATTATGCCTGAATTATTCTGAGTCTGAAAGAAATGACAAAGAGTAGGATAAAACAAGGTAAGTTTGGAGTGAAAATAGTATGAAAAAGTGGAGAAATGTGAATGTCGATTTAAAAGTGCACATTTAAACTTTATTAAAAATGACAGGCTTTTCTAAAAACAAATGGAATCTAGGGGGGATTCAGAGCAAAATGGCAGAATAGAAGGCTCCCTCGATTTTCCCCTGCATAAGGACACCAAGTTAACAACTATCTGCACATAAAAAAACACCTTCATAAAAAACAAAAATCAGGTGAGCACACAGAGTACCTGGTTTTACCTTCCTATCACTGAAAGAGGCACTGAATAGATAGCAAACACAGTTGTGATTGCCAATGCCACACCTCCCCAACACCAGGCAGCCACAGCTTGCAGAGAGTGTCTCTTGAGCACTGAGGGAGAACGAACATAGCAATTTTGAAACACTGAACTCGGTGGTGTCCTATTAGAGCAGAAAGGAAAACCGGGAGCATTGAAACTGACCGTAGACAGAGAGGAATTACCGATCCCAGTAGTTTGAACTTGAGTGCCTGCAAACCTTGCCACCAAGGGCTATAGCACTCTGTGTTTCCAAGTAAATTTGAATGACTGTCTAGGCCATAAAGACTGCAACTCTTGGGTGAGACCTAGTGCTAAACTAGGCCCAGAGACAGTGGACTGAGAGAGCATGCAGCTTACTGAGACACTAACTAGGACAGCCAAGTGGGTGAGGGCATCATTCCTCCCCTAAATCCAGTTTGCACAGCTCGTGGCTCCAAAAGAGACCCCCTTCCTTCTGCTTGAGAAGAAAAGAGGGAAGAGGGGGGAAGACTTTGTCTTGCATCTTGGATACCAGCTTAACCACAGCAGGATAGGGCACAACACAGAGTTGTGAGGCCCCCGTTCCAGACCCTAGCTCCCAGATGACATTTCTAGACACACAGTGGGTTAGAAGGGAACCTGCTGCCTTGAAGCAAAGAACCCAGTCCTGGCAGCATTTATCACCTGCCAACTGAAGAGCCCTTGGGCCCCAAATAATCAGCAGTGATACTCAGGTACTACATTGAGGGATTTGGATGCACCTCTGAGACTTGCTGGCTTCAGTTGTGACTCAGCACATTACCAGGTGGGGTGGTTATGGGGCAAAACTCCTTCTGCTTGAGAAGAACAGACGGAAAAGTAAATGGGGTCTTTGACTTGCACCTTAAGTATCAGCATGACCTCGGAAGGCAGAGCACCAAGTGGACCCTTGGGGTCCTTGATTCCAGGGCTTGACTCTTGGACAGCTTTTCCGGACCTGGCCTGGGCCAGAGGGGAGCCCACTTTCCTGAAGGGCGAGCTCCAGGCAAGGCAGCATTCAACACAAGGGGATTTAAGAGCCCTTGGGCCTTAAAAGAACATTGGCTGGTAGTCTGGTGTATGACTCATGGCCTGGGGTGGTGGTGGCTAAGAGGTGAAGCTCCTTTGCCTTTGGAAAGGAGAGGGATGAATGGGAAGGACTCCATCTTGTGGTTTCAGTGCCAGCTCAGATGCAGTACAACAGAATACCAGGTAAATTTTAAGGTTTTTGACTCTTGTATCTGACTTCTGGCCAGCAACTTTGGACCTACCCATGGGCTTGAGGACCTCACCAACCCAAAGGGAAGTACACAGACCTGGCTGGCTTTGCCACCTGCTGATTGTAGAGCCCCAGGGCCTTGAGCTAATATAAGCAGTAGCCATGGAGTGGTTACAGCAGAACTTGGGTGATACTCAGTGCTGTGCTGGCTTCAGGCCTGTCTCAGTGCAGTGATAGTGGTGGTAGCCACAGGGGTGCCTGTGTCACTTTACTGCCAGCTTTAAGTGGCTCATAAAGAGAGAGTGAGAATCTGGGAGAAAGGGAAGAGAACAAAGAATCTCTGCCTGGTAGTCCAGAGAATTCTCCTGGAACTTGTCCAAAATCATCAAGGGGATATTTGTATAAATCCATAAGATCCACAGCATTACTGAGTTTGGGGTGCTCCCTAAAGTAGATACAGCTTATTATATATACAGATAACACCCAAGTCCTTTCAAACATTGGAAAAGCCTTCCCAAGAAAGATGCTAAAAATAAGCCCAGATAGCAAGGACTGTAATAAATACCCAACTCTTCAATGCCAAGACACCAGAGAACATCTACTGGCATCAGAACCATCCAGGAAAACATGACCTCGCTTAACTAAACAAGGCAACAGAAACAATCTTGGAGAAACAGAGATCTGTGGCCTTTCAAGTAGATAATTCAAAATAGCTGTGTTGAGAAAAATTCAAAGAAATTAAAGATAACACACAGAAAAATTTCAGAATTATATCAGATAAATTTAACAAAGTGATTGAAATAAAAAAAAGAATCAAGCAGAAATTCTGGAGGGGAAAAATACAATCGGCATACTGAAGAATGCATCAAAGACCTTTAATAGCAGAATTAATCAAGCAGAATAAAGAATTAGTGAGCTTGAAGACAGGCTATTTGAAAATATAGAGTCAGAGGGAGAAAAAGAATAAAAAACAATGAAGCACACATAGAGGATCTAGAAAATAGCCTCAAAAGGGCAAATGTAAGAGTTATTGGCCTTAAAGAGTAGGTAAAGAAAGAGATAGAGGTAGAAAGTTTCTTCAAAGGGATAATGAGAGAGAACTTCCCAAACCTAGAGAAAGACATCAATATACAAGTATACAAGTAGGTTATAGAACACCAAGCAGATTTAATCCAAAGGATACTACCTGAAGGCATTTACTTTTTAAATTCCCAAAGGTCAAAGATAAATAATCCTAAAAGCAGCAAAAGAAAAGAAACAAATAACATACTATGAAGCTCCATGATGCCTGACAGCAGACTTTTCAGTGGAAAGCTTACAAGCCAGGAATAATGACATGACATATTTAAAGTGTTGAAAACAAACAAACAAACAAACAAACAAACAAACCTTTCACCTTAGAATAGTATATGCAGCAAATATATCCTTCAAACACGAAGGGGAAATAAAGACTTTCCCAGACAAACAAAAGCTGAAGGATTTAGTTAATACTAGCTAGACCTGTACTACAAGGATTGCTAAAAGGAGTACTTCAATCAGAAAGAAAATGACATTAATGAGCAATAAATAATCACCCAAATATACAAAGCTCACTGGTAATAGCACAGAGAAAAACACAGAACATTATAACACTGTAACTGCTGTGTGTAAACTACATTTATCCTAATAACAAAGACTAAACAATGAACCAATCAAAATTAATAACTACAATAACTTTTCAAGACATATTCTGTACAATAAGATAGAAATATAAACAACAAAAAGTTAAGAATCTGGGGGACAATGTTAAGGCATAGAGTTTTTATTAGTTTACTTTTTTGCTTGTTTGCTTGTTTATGCAAATAATGTTCAGTTGTTATCAGGTCAAAATAATGGGTTATAAGATAGTATTTGCAAGCCTCATGGGAAACTCAAACCAAAAAATATACAATGAACACACAAAAAATAAAAAGGAAGAAACTAAATCATATTGCCAGAGATCACCTTCCCTACAGGAAGGAAACATAAAAGGAAGAGAAGACTACAAAACATCCAGAAAATAAATAACAGAATGGCAAAAGTAAGTCCTTACTCATCAATAATAACATTGAATGTAAATGGACTAAGCTCTCCAATCAAAAGACAGACTGAATGGATTAAAAAAGAGACCTATTGTTCTGTTGCCTACAAGAAATGCACTCCACCTATAACATACAAAGACACACATAGACTGAAAATAAAAAAAATGGGAAAAGATAATCTATGCCAATGGAAACCAAAATAAAAGCAGGAGTCTCTATACTTATATCAGACAAAGTAGATTTTAAGACAAAAACTAACAGAAGGGACAAAGACAGTCACCACATAATGATAAAGAGGTCAATTCATCAAGAGGATTTAAGAATTTTAAATATATATGCACCCAACACTGGAGCATCCAGATATATAAAGAAAATATGATTAGAGCTAAAGGCTACAATACAATAATAGCTGGAGACTTCAACACCCCACTTTCAGCATTGGAAAGATATTCCAGACAGAAAATCAACAAAGAAACATTAGACTTAATCTGTACTCTAGACCAAATGGACCTAATAGATACTTAAAAAAACATTTCATGCAAGAGCTGCAGAATAACATTCTTCTCCTTAGCATTTGGATCATTCTCAAGGATAAACCATATGCTAGGTTACAAAATAACTCTTAAAGCATTCAAAAAACGGAAATAATAACAAACACCTTCCCTGACCAAAATGGAATAAAACTAGAAATTAATAACAAGAGGAATACTTGAAACTACACAAATGAATGGAAATTAAACAATATGCTCCTGAATGACCAGTCAATAAAATTGACAAGGTCAATAAATAAATTAAGAAGGAAATTGAAAAATGTCTAGAAACAAATGGTATTGCAAGCACAACATACTAAAATCTATGGACTATAGCAAAAGCAGTACTAAGAGGCAATTTTATAGCTGTAAGTGTCTACATCAAAAAAAAAAAAAAAAAAAAACCGGGGGAAAAACTTCTAATAAACAATCTAATGATGCATCCTGAAGAACTAGAAAAGCCAGAGCAAATCAAACCCAATATTAGTAGAAGAAAAGAAGTGATAAAGATAGAGCAGAAATAAATGAAATTGAAATGAAGAAGGAATACAAAGTATCAATGAGACAAAATGTTGGTCTTTTCAAAAGTTATACAAAATTGAAAAAACCCTTAGCTAGACTAAGCAAAAAAAAAAAAAAAAAAAGAGCAAGAGAGAAGATTCAAATAAATTAATCAGATATGAAAAAGGAGACATTACAACTGAGACCACAGAAATTCAAAGAATCATTAGTGGCTAATATGAACAATGATATGTCAATAAATTTGAAAATTTGGAAGAAATGAACAAATTCCTAGGTACATACAACCTACCAAGACTAAGCCAGGAAGAAATTCAAAACCTCAACAGACTAATAAGAAGTAATGGGGTCGAAGCTGTAATAACAATTCTCCCAGGAAAGATCCAATAACATCATTCTGAATTCTAGCAAACATTCAAAGAAAAACTAATACTAACCTTACCCAAGCTATTCCAAAAAATACAGGAGGAGGGATACTTCCAAACCCATTCCACAAGGCCAATATTACCCTGATACCAAAACCAGACACACACACACCCCTGACACACACAAATGACAAGCCAATGTCTCTGATAAATATTGAAGTAAAAACCATCAACAAAATACTAGCAAACTGATTTCAACAACACATTAGAAAGATCATTTATCATGAGCAAGTCGCATTGATCCCTGAGATGCAAAGGTGATTCAGCATATACTAATCAATGTATACTATATCAACAGAATAAAGACTAAAAACCATATGATATTTTCAATCATTTCTGAAAGAGTATTTGATAAAATTCAACATCCCTTCATGATAAAAACCCTCAGAACACTGAGAATAGATGAAACATACCTCAAAATAATAAAATTCATATATGACAGACCCACAGTTAGTATCATAGTGAATGTGAAAAACTGAAAGGCTTACCTCTAAGATCTGGAATGCAACAAGAATGCCCACTGTCACCAGTATTATTCGACATATTAGTGGAATCCTAGCTAAAGCAAATCAGACAAAAGAAGGATATAAAGGACATCTACTTAGAAAGGAAGTAGTCAAATTATCCTTGTTTGCAGATGATATGATCTTATATTTGGAAAAGCCTAAAGACTACACAGGAAATCTGTTAGAATTGATAAACAAATAAAGCAAATTTGCAGAATACAAAATCAACCCCAAAACAGTAGCATTTCTGTATACAAACAATGAATGATCTGAAAAAGAAATAAAAATAATCCAGTTACAGTAGTCCCACATAAAATTAAATACCAAAGAATTAACCAAAGAAGTTTAACCAAAGGAATTAACCAAAGAAGTAAAAGATCTGTATAATCTAAACTATAAAACACTGATTAAAGGAATTGAAGAGAGCTCCAAAAAATGAAAAAATATTTCATGTTCATGGATTTAAAGAATCAGTACTGTTAAAAAGTCCATATTGCTCAAAGCAATCTATAGATTAAATGCAATCCCTATCAAAATACCAATGGCATTTTTTCACAGACATAGAAAAAACAATTCTAAAATTTATACGGAATCACAAAAGACCCAGAATAGCTAAAGATATTCTGAGCAAAAAGAACAAAACTGGAAGAATCACATTACCAGGCTTCAAATTATACTACAGAACTGTAGTAACCAAAAGTGTGGTACTGGCATAAAAACAGACACACAGACCAATGGAACAGAATACAGAACTCAGAAAAAAATACACACACCTACAGTGAAACTATTTTTGACAAAGGTGTCAAGAACATACAATGTGGAAAAGACAGTCTCCTTAATAAATGGTACTGCAGAAAGTGAATATCCATGCACAGAGGAATGTAACTAGATAACTAACTCACCGTTTTCAAAAATCAAATAAAAATGGACTAAAGACTTAAATATTAGGCCTCAAATTATAAAACTACTCCTAGAAAACATTGGGGCAAATCTCCAGGACATAGGTCTGGGCAAAGATTTCTTGAGCAATACCCAACAAACACAGGCAACCAAAGCAAAAATAGACAAATGGAATCACATCTAGTCAAAAAGCTTCTGCACAGCAAAGAATACAATCAACAAAGTGAAGAGACAACCCAGAGAATGAGAGAAAATATTTGCAAAATACCCTTCTGACAAGAGATTCGTAACCAGAAGATATAAGGAACTCAAACAACTCTATAGAAAAAAAGAAAATCTAAGAATTTGGCCAAAATTTGGGCAAAAGATTTGAATAGACATTTCTCAGAAGAAGGCATACAAATAACAAACAGGCATATGAAAACGTGCTCAACATCACTGATCAACAGAGAAATGCAAATCAAAACTATAAAGAGATATCATGTCACCAAAGATAAAAATGGCTTATATCCAAAAGACAGGCATTAACAAATGTTGGCAAGTACATGGAGAAAAGGGAACACTTGTACACTGCTGGGAGGAATGTAAATTGGTGCAAGCACTATGGAGAACAGTTTGGAGGTTCCTCAAACAACTAAAAATTGAGCTACCATATTATCCAGAAATCCCACCACTGGGTATATAACTGAAAGAAGGGAAATCAGTATATTGAAGAGACATCTGCATTTCTATATGTGTTGAAGCACTGTTTGCAATAGCTAAGATTTGAAAGCAACCTAAGTGTCCATCAACAGATAAATGGATAAAGAAAATGTGGTACATATACACAATGGAGTACTATTCAGCCATAAAAATATAATTAGATCCAATCATTGGCAACAGCATGGAAGGAACTGGAGATCATTATGTTAAGTGAAATAAGCCAGGCATAGAAAAATATCGCATCTTCTCACTTATTTGTGGGATCTAAAAATTAAAACAATTAAACTCATGGAGATAAAGAGTAGAAGGATAGTGATCAGATGCTGGGAACGGTAGTGGGGGGTGGGGTCAGGTGGGGATAGTTAATGGGTACAAAAAATAGAAAGAATGAATAAGACATACTATTCATGAATGAGTAAATAATATATACTTGAATAAGATATAGCACAATAGGTGACTATAGTCAATAATAACTAATTGAATGTTTTAAAATAACTTAAAGAGTGTAATTGGATTGTTCATAACTCAAAGGATAAGTGCTTGGGAGGATGGATACCCCATTCTCCATGATGTGCTTATTTCACTTTGCATGCTTGTATCAAAACATCTCATGTACCCATAAATATATATACCTACTACATACTCACAAAAAATAAAAAAGGAAAATTAAAAATATTAAAGCAAAGGGAATCTAAATAAATTCAATGTAAATGAAAAATGGATGTGAAAAATTACTTACAGTGCTGTGGAGGCTAAGAAGACAGTACATATTATGACCTAGACAATCATGAATGAATTCTTTAAAGAGGTAGTCATGAAGAAAAAGTCAGGGTGCACCAGACAGAAGAAAGAGATTGTGCATTTCATGTAGAAGCAAAGTTATGAAAGTGCATCGGATGTTTTGAGAAGCAAGTACTAAGTATGGTTGGAGATGAAGGTTTGGGGGATGTCCAGAGAATTGATACACACATGGTAAGGACCAGGTAAAAATATTTCAAATGTTCTCTGTACTATTTGATCTGTACTATTAAGTACTTTTGTGAAAACAGATGACTTGAAGTCTGAAATAGAGAAATGCCTGGACTTTCAGGGACCAGCAGAGGAATAGAGGATTGGTCTGAGAGAGAGATAACAGGTGCTTAAAGTGAATAGCAGGTATCACAAAGGGAAAATTAATTCATATGTTTTGAGAAAATAGAGTGTCTTAGTCTGTTTGGAGTTCTACAACAAAATGCCATAAATTGATGCATTTATAAAGAGAAAATTTGTTTGTCACAGTTATGGAGCCTGGAAAGTCTAAGATCAAAGCACTGGCAGATGCAATGTCTGTTGAGAGGTCATCTCCTCTTTCATACATGGCACTTTCTAACTCTGTCCTCACATGGTGCAAACATGCTCCTCACAAAGGAGCAAACAAGCTCCTTTGAGCCTCTTCTATAAGAGCACCAATCTTACTCATGAGAGCTCTGCCTTTATGACCTAATCACCTCCCAAAAGCCCTGCCTCTTAATACCATCACATTGGGGATCCATTTTCAACATATGAATTTTAGGGGGACACACATATTCAGACCATAGCATAGGGTCAATGTTTTTTGTTTCTTTTTTGTTTTGTTATATTTTGTTTTGGCACCACATATAGGATAATGAGAAGAGGAGCATACTTCTTGAGAAGCACAGGTAAAGAGAGGAAACCACTATCAAGAAAATAGAAGGAGTTATTTGAATAACGTGGTGGACCAGAAGAAAAACCTCAGTTGAAAAAATGTTGCATCACTTTTCCAAATTTCAGTTCTTCAGGTAAAACAATGACATTTTTACCATGTCTTTATACCACTTGCACTTTTATTTACTTAATATTTTTCTTCATATTATTGCTATTTTTGCATATCTTAAAATTGAACTTTATATTATTACTATGAATGGAATGCCAGCATTTTTCTAGTTTGCATTAAAACATATATGCAACTGCATTATCACAAGGTGGCAATGATTAAGAAAGATATTGCAAAAATCCCAGGCACACATTCCTCTCTATGCAAGAAAGGCCCTCAGGAGACAGAGCAACACCCCCAGGTGGAAGGAAAAGCTTCCTACTTCAGATCCCAATGCTTCTGATGTCATTTGACCTGTATACGGATCCCATCAAAGGTGCAAAAAGTTCACTTTGACATTTGCAAAGTGGGGTTTCTACTTTTCAACTATCTTCCAACTGCTTTGAGGACTAGTCACTTTGGCAAGTCAGTGATAACAACATCAAGGGCACTGGCGAGTTTTCCCTCAGAGGTGAAATTCCCATATTTACCCTTCCTCTAGGATTCCCAGATAGGTATTGTCCTGTATGTCACAAAGCTAGATATAAATAAAGATGATGTCCAAAACTGATAACGAACCTAAACTCAGAGAGAGAGACAGACAGAGAGAGAGAGTGAGAGAGAGAGAAGAGAAAGACAAGTGCATGAGAGAGCTGGCACTTTTGGATTACTTTCTGAAAAGCAGTGCTAGCTTGTTTGAAGAGAACTACATCATTAAAAAGCACTACATTAGTTAGAGCAGGTTTATTCTTAAGAGCTTCATATCCTAGGGAAAACTTCATAGTAAATTTACAACTTTGGATTACATAATTTAAAACATCTGTCGTTTTCTTTTTTATCCATGGCTTAAAAAACAACGGACTTATTTCACCTACTTATTTTTAACAAAAGGCTTATTTTAAACAAAGAAGTTTAATAAAATCTTTAAGTGTTGATGTCAGTATTGTTTTGTAATTATGAATATGACCAAAATTATTTTCATTTCTCAGTTATCCATACTGGAAGATAGGCAAGTTTAGATAAAATCTGCTCTCCAAAACACAAGGCCCTCCTAACATTTGGGAAGCATTGGCTGCAACTGAAGGCCATAGGCCTGGGACAAAAAATTTCACTGTTTGACTGGTGAGGATTTTAGGTTATTGTTGAACTTCTTCAAACTGTATGCAAAGTATTAGGCAAAATTATTAGGCAAATTATTGACATATTGTTTTCTCAAATTAGAATACACAACTTTCAACAGAATTGAAAATTGACTTGTGAATAACATACATATACTTATCTATGTAAAATGAAAGAGAGCTCACTCCTCCTTACAGATTACTTTCTGCAAATATAACTGATCTAAATATGGGAAATGGTAAAATTTGTAGGTATCTGAAGTTGGATTGTGAATCGACATATATACCCTATAATTCATCATATAATAAGTTGATTTAGATTTTATTTTATGTAAGTTTTTAGAAGATCACCTGTTTCCATTCGAAAATTTAATCCCCAACTTTGTCTAGGTAGCACATTTCAGGACAGCCCTGCGAAATGGTATTTTAGTTGATGTTGACATGTATGTACTATTTTCTATAGTTAATGAATTAAAATGGAATATTCTTTTGTCTGCCTTATTCACTCCTTTTTGCAGTTTTCTCAAGGACATTCTAAGAGAACTAAAAATCGGTACTGGAATACTGGTATTAGATCATCAGAACACGGTCCTCTGAGAATCTCAATAGGCTATGAATATTATCAAGTGCCCTTGAGTCAGTCATCTCATACAAATGAATTAGAAATGAATTTGTCACTACTTCCCCAATTAGAGTAGATATTCAAGGATTGATTGCAAAATTATGAGAATAGAAATCCAGTTTTTGTGTAGTACAGCTGCAAATAGTTTATTTTAAGATTTCTGTCCCTGGAGATACTCCTCATGCCTTTTCTATTATTTCTTTTTTCTCAATAATGATTTAGTTCATCACCTTCAAAGCAATTTGACCTTTGCTACCTCCACCCGCCATTGTTATCTGTCCCAAACTCAAGTAAGAAATAGAAGCAAAAAATGCACTATAGAAAAGGCAGTGAACTGTAAATTTCTCCTATCATTTGGTGGAGACCTCTCTTGCTGTGAAACTGACCTTCTTTTTTTCCCATTAAAAACTCTATTATAATGTTCCTTAAAGAACTTTCAAAGCATTTAGTTGATAGTAGTTATGAGTTTGCTATAATGTAGAATAGGAGATTTAATATTGCATTGATTTTTTATTACAGCTTTTGACATTCCTAAAACACTAAATGTTTGATGTTTAGAAGTTTACTATAAAATATCCAGTTTACGTGAACCAGGGTATCATTTTATATTAAATTACATCCTCTTTCATTGAAACTCATAAGAAGTAATAACATAAAAATTTATTAATCTGGACCTTTGCAATAGGTATAAAATTCATTTGTGTGCATCCAGTTTCTCCCATTTTGATCTATTCCACAGATGACTGCCAGATTAAGTGTTCTAAAGCCACTTGGATTCTGAGTCCACAGATCACAGGCCTTCAGATTCTTCACATAATTAAAATGAAAATTTAAAATAACTTCAAAGACCTTCCAGGATGTAACCCTACTGTAATTTCTAAAACCTTTCTCATCACTCTGCTAATTATTACTACCCCTTATGCGCTGGCACAACCCCAGCTCCCAATTTTTTCCCACAGATATCAGCGCACATTTGTCTACTCTATCTCAGTTGCTCTCTTGCTCATGGTCAAATTGTAGGTCTCACTTTTCTGACCATAGGTGACTTCTTTCTGCTTTGAAGTTCTTTTTTTTTTTTTTTCTGAGATGGAGTCTCGCTCTGTTGCTCAGGCGGGAGTGCAGTGGCGCGATCTCCGCTCCCTGCCACCTCTGCCTCCCGGGTTCACGTGTTTCTCCTGCCTCAGCCTCCCGAGTAGCTGGGATTACAGGTGCACATCACCACCACACTCGGCTAATTTTTTGTATTTTTAGTAGAGACGGGGTTTCACTATGTTGGCCAGACTGGTTAAACCTCTAACTTAATTTGCCTTTTCCTAAAAGAAATTTTAGCATGGCATGTTACTCATGTCGACAACTTCAATTTTCTGAAAATATTATTTTAGAATATATTTTATTCCTTTAAAATTAGACTTTAGTCAAAATTAGAAATCATACCCTTAAAGTACAGGTAAACTTAATATAAACTTTGATTGTGGTGGATAAGCTTTTTGATGTGCTGCTCGATTTGGTTTGCCAGTGTTGTTTTGAGGATTTTTGCATCGATGTTCATCAGCAATATTGGCCTGAAATTTTCTTTTTTTGTTGTATCTCTGCCAGGTTTTGGAATCAGGATGATGCTGGCAGGTTTTGGAATCAGGATGATGCTGGCCTCATAAAATGAGTTAGGGAAGAGTCCCTCTTTTTCTATTGTTTAGAATAGTTTCAGAAGGAATGGTACCAGTTCCTCTTTGTACCTCTGGTAGAATTTGCCTGTGAATCTGTCTGGTCCTGGGCTTATTTTTCATTGGTAGGTTATTAATTACTGCCTCAATTTCAGAACTTATTATTGGTCTGTTCCAGGATTTGACTTCTTCTTGATTTAGTATTGGGAGGGTGTATATGTCCAGGAATTTAATCATTTCTTCTAGATTTTCTAGTTTATTTGTGTAGAGGTGTTTATAGTATTCTCTGATGGTAGTTTGTATTTCTGTGGGGTCAGTGGTGATATCCACTTTATCATTTTGTACTGTGTCTATTTGATTCTTCCCCCTTTTCTTCATTATTAGTCTAGTTAGCAGTTTATCTATTTTTCTAATTTTTTCAGTAAACCAACTCCTGGATTCATCGATTTTTTGAAAAGTTTTTCATGTCTCTATCTCCTTCAATTCTGCTCTGACTTTAGTTATTTCTTGTCTTCTTCTAGCTTTTGAATTTGTTTGCTCTTGCTTCTCTAGTTCTTTTAATTGTGATGTTAGGGTGTTGATTTAAGATGTTTCGTGCTTTCTGATGTGGGCATTTACTGCTATAAATTTCCCTCTAAACACTGCTTTAGCTGTGTCCAAGAGATTCTGGTACATTGTCTCTTTGTTCTCATTGATTTCAAAGAACTTCATTATTTCTGTCTAATTTTGTTATTTACACAGTGGTCATTCAGGAGCAGGTTGTTCAGTTTCCATGTAGTTGTGTAGTTTATAGTGCGTTTCTTAGTCCTGAGTTGTAACTTGGTTGCATGTGGTCTGAGAGGCTGTTTGTTATGATTTCCATTATTTTATATTTGCTGAGGAGTGTGCTACTTCCAATTATGTGGTCAATTTTAGAATAAGTGCTATGCAGTGCTGAGAAGAATATATATTCTGTTGATTTGTGGTGGAGTGTTATGTAGATATCTATTAGGTCTGCTTGGTCCAGAGGTCAGTTCAAGTCCTGAATATCCTTGTTAATTTTCTGTCTCAATCTGTCTAATATTGACAGTGGGGTGTTAATGTCTCCCATTATTGTTGTCTGGGAGTCTAAGTCTCTTTGTAGGTCACTAGAGTCTAAATCTCTTTGTAGGTCTCTAAGAACTTGCTTTATGGATGTGGCTGCTCCTGTATTGGGTGCATATATATTTACAACAGTTAGCTCTTCTTGTTGCATTGATCCCTTTACTTTGTTACATTGATGCCATTCTTTGTGTTTTGGTCTTTATTGGTTTAAAGTCTGTTTTATCAGAGACTAGGATTGCAATCCCTGCTTTTTTGGTTTCCATTTCCATTTCCATTTGCTTTCCATTTCCATCCCTTTATTTTGAGCCTGTGTGTGTCTTTGCACATGGGTTGGGTCTCCTAAATACAGCACACCGATGAGTTGTGACTATTCATCCAATTTGCCAGTCTTTGACTTTTATCTGGGGAATTTAGCCCATTTATATTTAAGGTTAATATTGTTATGTGTGAATTTGATCTTGTCATCATGATGCTAGCTGATTATTTTGCAAATTAGTTGATGTAGTTCTTCATAGTGTTCTTGTTCTTTATACTTTGGTGTGTTTTGCAGTGGCTGTTACTGTTTTCCTTTCCATATTTAGTGCTTCCTTCAGGAGCTCTTGTAAGCCAGGACTAGTGGTGACAAAATCCCTCAGCATTTGCTTGTCTGTAAAATATTTTATTTCTCCTTCACTTATGAAACTTAGTTGGCTTCATCCCTGGGATGCAGGGCTGGTTCAACATACACAAATCAATACACATAATCCACCACATAAACAGAACCAATGACAAAAAACCACATGATTATCTCAATAGATTCAGAAAAGGCCTTCAATAAAATACAACACCACTTCATGCTAAAAACTCTCAATAAACTAGGTATTGATGGAACATACTCAAAATAATAAGAGCTATTTATGAAAAACCCACAGCCAACATCATATCAAATGGGCAAAATCTGAAGCATTCCCATTGAAAACCGGCAAAAGAAAAGAATGCCCTCTCTCACCACTTCTATTCAACATAGAATTGGAAGCTCTGGCCAGGGCAATCAAGCAAGAGAAAGAAATACAAGGTATTCAAATAGGAAGAGAGGAAGTCAAATTGTCTCTGTTTGCAGAAGACATGATTGTATATTTAGAAAACCCCATTGTCTCAGCCCAAAATCTCCTTAAGCTGATAAGCAAATTCAGCGAAGTCTCAGGATACAAAATCAATGTGCAAAAATCACAAGGATTCCTACACATCAATAATAGACTAGCAGAGAGCCAAATCATGAGTGAACTCTCATCCACAATTGCAACAAATAAAATAAAATACCTAGAAATACAACTTACAAGGGATGTGAAGGAACTCTTCAAGAACTACAAATCACTGCTCAAGGAAATAAGAGAGGACACAAACAGATGGAAAAAAAATTCATGCTCATGGGTAGGAAGAATCTATATCATGAAAACGGCCATACTGCCCAAAGTAATTTATAGATCCAATGCTATTCCCATCAAACTACCATTGACTTTCTTCACAGAATTAGAAAAAAATTACTCTAAATTTCATATGAAACCAAAAAAGGGCCCTTATAGCCAAGACAATCCTAAGCAAAAGAACAAAGCTGAAGGCATCATGCTACCTGACTTCAACTATACTACAAGGCAACAGTACCCAAAACAGCATGGCGCTGGTACCAAAACAGATATATTGACCAATGGAACAGAACAGAGGCCTCAGAAATAATGCCACACATCTGCAACCATCTGCTCTTGGACAAACCTGACAAAAACAAGCAACAGGGAAAAGATTCCCTACTAAATAAATGGTACTGAGAAAACTGGCTACCCATATGCAGAAAACAGAAACTGGATCCCTTCCTTACACCCTGTACAAAAATTAACTTAAGATGGATTGAATACTTAAATTTAAGACCTAAAACTGTAAAAATCCTGGAAGAAAACCTAGGCAACACCATTCAGGACATAGGCATGGGCAAAGACTTCATGACTAAAACACCAAAAGCAATCACAACAAAAGCCAAAATTGACAAATGGGATCTAATCAAACTAAAGAGTTTCTACTCAGCAAAATAAAATATCATCAGAGTGAACAGGCAACCTAAAACATGGGAGAAAATTTTTGTAATCTATCCTTCTGACAAAGGTCTAATATCCAGAATCTACAAGGAACTTAAACAAATTTACAAGAAAAAAACAAACAACCTCATCGAAAAGTGGGCAAAGGATATGAACAGACACTTCTCAAAAGATTACAGGTATGTGGCCAACAAACATGAAAAAAAGCTCGTCATCACTGGTCATTAGAGAAATGCAAATCAAAACCATAATGAGATATCACCTCCTGCCAGTTAGAATGGCGATCATTAAAAAGTCTGGAAACAACAGATGTTGGTGAGGATGCAGAGAAATAGGAAAGCTTTTGCACGGTTGGTGGGAGTGTAAATTAGTTCAACCATTGTGGAGGACAGTATGGTGATTCCTCAAGGATCTAGAACCAGAAATACCATTTGACTCAGTAATCCCATTTCTGGGCATATACCCAAAGGATTATAAATCATTCTACTACAGAGACACATGTACATGTATGTTTATTTCAGCACTATTTACAATAGAAAGACTTGGAACCAAGCCAAATGCCCATCAATCATAGACTGGATAAAGGAAATGTGACACATATAAACCATGGAACACTATGCACCCATAAAAAAGAATGAGTTCATGTCCTTTGCAGGGACATGGATGTAGCTGGAAACCATCATCCTCAGCAAACTAACGCAGGAACAGAAAACCAAACACAGCATGTTCTCACTCATAAGTGGGAGCTGAACAGTGAAAACACAGGGACACAGGGAGGGTAACATCACACACGGGGGCCTGTCTTAGGGTTAGGGGAAAGAGGAGGGTGAGCATTAGGACAAATACCTAATGAATGCAGAGCTTAAAACCTAGATGATGAGTTGTTAGATGCAGCAAACCACCATGGCACACGTATACCTATGTAGCAAACCTGTACGTTCAGCACATGTATCCCAGAACTTAAAGTCAAATAAAATAAAACAAGAACAACAAAAATTAGGATAGTAATACTGCTTACTCCAGAGGGTGGGTAGGAGCATTCAATAAGATAACATTATAAAGTGCTTTATGTAGTGCCCGGTAAGTGTTACCTGCTCAATAAATGTTGGCTGCTATTACAGCTACACTGAGTTAAAATAAAAAAAAAATTATAACCTTTGCTTTATACATACAAGTTTTGTTTATTTTGAAAGACAAATACATTGGCAAGTACTGCATTTTCTAGTACTCAACAAAGTGCCTGGCCTAAGGTAGGTCCTTAATATGGTACATATTTACTGAATCATTGAAATTTCATATTTTGATACATTAGAAAATAATGCATCCTTACCTCAGACATTAAAAAGAGCTTCCACGTCTCGCAAGGAGTCAGGGAGTTCCCTTTCCGAGTCAAAGAAAGGGGTGACAGACGGCACCTGGAAAATCGGGTCACTCCCATCCGAATACTGCGCTTTTCCGACTGGCTTAAAAAACGGCGCACCACCACGAGATTATATCTCGCACCTGGCTCGGAGGGTCCTACGCCTAGGGAGTCTCACTGATTGCTAGCACAGCAGTCTGAGATCAAACTGTAAGGCGGCAGCGAGGCTGGGGGAGGGGCGCCCGCCATTGCCCAGGCTTGCTTAGGTAAACAAAGCAGCCAGGAAGCTCCAACTGGGTGGAGCCCACCACAGCTCAAGGAGGCCTGCCTGCCTCTGTAGGCTCCACCTCTGGGGGCAGGGCACAGACAAACAAAAAGACAGCAGTAACCTCTGCAGACTTAAATGTCCCTGTCTGACAGCTTTGAAGAGAGCAGTAGTTCTCCCAGCACGCAGCTGGAGATCTGAGAACGGGCAGACTGCCTCCTCAAGTGGGTCCCTGACCCCTGACCCCCGAGCAGCCTAACTGGGAGGCACCCCCCAGCAGGGGCACACTGACACCTCACACGGCAGGGCATTCCAACAGACCTGCAGCTGAGGTCCTCTCTGTTAGAAGGAAAACTAACAAACAGAAAGGACATCCACACCAAAAACCCATCTGTACATCACCATCATCAAAGACCAAAAGTAGATAAAACCACAAAGATGGGGAGAAAACAGAACAGAAAAACTGGAAACTCTAAAAAGCAGAGCACCTCTCCTCCTCCAAAGGAATGCAGCTCCTCACCAGCAACGGAACAAAGCTGGATGGAGAATGACTTTGACAAGCTGAGAGAAGAAGGCTTCAGATGATCAAATTACTCTGAGCTATGGGAGGACATTCAAACCAAAGGCAAAGAAGTTGAAAACTTTGAAAAAAATTTGGAAGAATGTATAACTAGAATAACCAATACAGCGAAGTGCTTAAAGGAGCTGGGATGGAGCTGAAAACCAAGGCTCGAGAACTATGTGAAGAATGCAGAAGCCACAGGAGCCAATGCGATCAACTGGAAGAAAGGGTATCAGCAATGGAAGATGAAATGAATGAAATGAAGCGAGAAGGGAAGGTTAGAGAAAAAAGAATAAAAAGAAATGAGCAAAGCCTCCAAGAAATATGGGACTATGTGAAAAGACCAAATCTACGTCTGATTGGTGTACCTGAAAGTGATGGGGAGAATGGAACCAAGTGGGAAAACACTCTGCAGGATATTATCCAGGAGAACTTCCCCAATCTATCAAGGCAGGCCAACGTTCAGATTCAGGAAATACAGAGAACGCCACAAAGATACTCCTCGAGAAGAGCAACTCCAAGACACATAATTGTCAGATTCACCAAAGTTGAAATGAAGGAAAAAATGTTAAGGGCAGCCAGAGAGAAAGGTCGGGTTACCCTCAAAGGGAAGCCCATCAGACTAACAGCGGATCTCTCGGCAGAAACCCTACAAGCCAGAAGAGAGTGGGGGCCAATATTCAACATTCTTAAAGAAAAGAATTTTCAACCCAGAATTTCATATCCAGACAAACTAAGCTTCATAAGTGAAGGAGAAATAAAATCCTTTACAGACAAGCAAATGCTGAGAGATTTTGTCACCACCAGGCCTGCCCTAAAAGAGCTCCTGAAGGAAGCACTAAACATGGAAAGGAACAACTAGTACCAGCCGCTGCAAAATCATGCCAAAATGTAAAGACCATCGAGACTAGGAAGAAACTGCATCAACTAACGAGCAAAATAACCAGCTAACATCATAATGACAGGATCAAATTCACACATAACAATATTAACTTTAAATGTAAATGGACTAAATGCTCCAATTAAAAGACACAGACTGGCAAATTGGATAAAGAGTCAAGACCCATCAGTGTGGTGTATTCAGGAAACCCATCTCACGTGCAGAGACACACATAGGCTCAAAATAAAAGGATGGAGGAAGATCTACCAAGCAAATGGAAAACAAAAAAAGGCAGGGGTTGCAATCCTAGTCTCTGATAAAACAGACTTTAAACCAACAAAGATTAAAAGAGACAAAGAAGGCCATTACATAATGGTAAAGGGATCAATTCAACAAGAAGAGCTAGCTATCCTAAATATATATGCACCCAATACGGGAGGACCCAGATTCATAAAGCAAGTCCTGAGTGACCTACAAAGAGACTTAGACTCCCACATATTAATAATGGGAGACTTTAACACCCCACTGTCAACATTAGACAGATCAACAAGACAGAAAGTCAACAAGGATACCCAGGAATTGAACTCAGCTCTGCACCAAGCGGACCTAATAGACATCTACAGAACTCTCCACCCCAAATTAACAGAATATACATTTTTTTCAGCACCACACTACACCTATTCCAAAATTGACCACATACTGGGAAGTAAAGCTCTCCTCAGCAAATGTAAAAGAACAGAAATTATAACAAACTATCTCTCAGACCACAGTGCAATCAAACTAGAACTCAGGATTAAGAATCTCACTCAAAACCGCTCAACTACATGGAAACTGAACAAGCTGCTCCTGAATGACTACTGGGTACATAAGGAAATGAAGGCAGAAATAAAGATGTTCTTTGAAACCAACGAGAACAAAGACACAACATACCAGAATCTCTGGGATGCATTCAAAGCACTGTGTAGAGGGAAATTTATAGCACTAAATGCCCACAAGAGAAAGCAGGAAAGATCCAAAATTGACACCCTAACATCACAATTAAAAGAACTAGAAAAGCAAGAACAAACACATTCAAAAGCTAGCAGAAGGCAAGAAATAACTAAAATCAGAACAGAACTGAAGGAAATAGAGACACAAAAAACCCTTCAAAAAATTAATGAATCCAGGAGCTGGTTTTTGGAAAGGATCAACAAAATTGATGGACCACTAGCAAGACTAATAAAGAAAAAAAGAGAGAAGAATCAAATAGATACAATAAAAATTGATAAAGGGGATATCACCACTGATCCCACAGAAATACAAACTACCATCAGAGAATACTACAAACACCTCTATGCAAATAAACTAGAAAATCTAGAAGAAATGGATAAATTCCTGGACACATACACTCTCCCAAGACAAAACCAGGAAGAAGTTGAATCTTTGAATAGACCAATAACAGGAGCTGAAATTGTGGCAATAATCAATAGCTTACCAACCAAAAAGAGCCCAGGACCAGATGGATTCACAGCCGAATTCTACCAGAGGTACAAGGAGGAACTGGTACCATTCCTTCTGAAACTATTCCAATCAATAGAAAAAGAGGGAATCCTCCCTAACTCATTTTATGAGGCCAGCATCATTCTGATACCAAAGCCAGGCAGAGACACAACAAAAAAAGAGAATTTTAGACCAATATCCTTGATGAACATTGATGCAAAAAATCCTCAATAAAATACTGGCAAACAGAATCCAGCAGCACATCAAAAAGCTTATCCACCATGATCAAGTGGGCTTCATCCCTGGGATGCAAGGCTGGTTCAATATACGCAAATCAATAAATGGAATCCAGCATATAAACGGAGCCAAAGACAAAAACCACATGATTATCTCAATAGATGCAGAAAAAGCCTTTGACGAAATTCAACAACCCTTCATGCTAAAAACTCTCAATAAATTAAGTATTGATGGGACGTATTTCAAAATAATAAGAGCTATCTATGACAAACCCACAGCCAATATCATACTGAATGGGCAAAAACTGGAAGCATTCCCTTTGAAAACTGGCACAAGACAGGGATGCCCTCTTTCACCACTCCTATTCAACATAGTGTTGGATGTTCTGGCCAGGGCAATTAGGCAGAAGAAGGAAATAAAGGTTATTCTATTAGGAAAAGAGGAAGTCAAATTGTCCCTGTTTGCAGAGGACATGATTGTATATCTAGAAAACCCCATTGTCTCAGCCCAAAATCTCCTTAAGCTGATAAGCAACTTCAGCAAAGTCTCAGGATACAAAATCAATATACAAAAATCACAAGCATTCTTATACACCAACAACAGACAAACAGAGAGCCAAATCATGAGTGAACTCCCATGCATAATTGCTTCAAAGAGAATAAAATACCTAGGAATCCAACTTACAAGGGATGTGAAGGACCTCTTCAAGGAGAACTACAAACCACTGCTCAAGGAAATAAAAGAGGATACAAACAAATGGAAGAACATTCCATGCTCATGGGTAGGAAGAATCAATATTGTGAAAATGGCAATACTGCCCAAGGTAATTTATAGATTCAATGCCATCCCCATCAAGCTACCAATGACTTTCTTCACAGAATTGGAAAAAACTACTTTAAAGTTCATATGGAAACAAAAAAGAGCCCACATCGCCAAGTCAATCCTAAGCCAAAAGAACAAAGCTGGAGGCATCACACTACCTGACTTCAAACTATACTACAAGGCTACAGTAACCAAAACAGCATGGTACTGGTATCAAAACAGAGATATAGATCAACGGAACAGAACAGAGCCCTCAGAAATAACACCACATATCTACAACTATCTGATCTTTGACAAACCTGACAAAAACAAGCAATGGGGAAAGGATTCCCTATTTAATAAGTGGTGCTGGGAAAACTGGCTAGCCATATGTAGAAAGCTGAAACTGGATCCCTTCCTTACACCTTATACAAAAATCAATCCAAGATGGATTAAAGACTTAAACGTTAGACCTAAAACCATAAAAACCCTAGAAGAAAACCTAGGCATTACCATTCAGGACATAGGCATGAGCAAGGACTTCATGTCTAAAACACCAAAAGCAATGGCAACAAAAGACAAAATTGACAAATGGGATCTAATTAAACTAAAGAGCTTCTGCACAGCAAAAGAAACTACCATCAGAGTGAACAGGCAACCTACAAAATGGGAGAAAATTTTTGCAACCTACTCATCTGACAAAGGGCTAATATCCAGAATCTACGATGAACTCCAACAAATTTACAAGAAAAAAACAAACAACCCCATCAAAAAGTGGGCGAAGGACATGAGCAGACACTTCTCAAAAGAAGACATTTATGCAGCCAAAAAACACATGAAAAAATGTTCATCATCACTGGCCATCAGAGAAATGCAAACCAAAACCACAATGAGATACCATCTCACACCAGTTAGAATGGCAATCATTAAAAAGTCAGGAAACAACAGGTGTTGGAGAGGATGTGGAGAAATAGGAACACTTTTACACTGTTGGTGGGACTGTAAGCTAGTTCAACCATTGTGGAAGTCAGTGTGGCGATTCCTCAGGGATCTAGAACTGGAAATACCATTTGACCCAGCCACCCCATTACTGGGTATATACCCAAAGGACTATAAATCATGCTGCTATAAAGACACATGTACACGTATGTTTATTGCGGCATTATTCACAATAGCAAAGACTTGGAATCAACCCAAATGTCCAACAAGGATAGACTGGATTAAGAAAATGTGGCACATATACACCATGGAATACTATGCAGCCATAAAAAATGATGAGTTCATGCCCTTTGTAGGGACATGGATGAAATTGGAAATCATCATTCTCAGTAAACTATCGCAAGAACAAAAAACCAAACACCGCGTATTCTCACTCATAGGTGGGAATTGAACAATGAGATCACATGGACACAGGAAGGGGAATATCACACTCTGGGGACTGTCGTGGGGTGGGGGGAGGGGGGAGGGATAGCATCGGGAGATATACCTAATGCTAGATGACGAGTTAGTGGGTGCTGCGCACCAGCGTGGCACATGTATACATATGTAACTAACCTGCACAATGTGCACATGTACCCTAAAACTTAAAGTATAATAAAAAAAAAATTGAAAAAAAAAAAAAAAGAGCTTCCACGTTTGTGTATTTATCTCTGTATGTGTGAGAGAGTTTGTATCTGTTTGCGAGTGTGTGTGTGTGTGTGTCTGTGGGTGTGTGCGTGCACATCTCTACAAGTTTAAGAGTGTTTGTATGTGTATCTTCTTCAATTGTGAGACTGTACTGGTCTTTCTGGCTCCTGTTCCAGTTTCTACTCTTCGAATATCTGTGTCTATTGCTGTCTCTATGCATGTGTCCAATCTATCTGGGCTTTACTTATATATATATATATATCTTAATAATGAGAGGAGTTGATTTAAACTATATTTAAATTTCCTCTTCCCTCTACACTCTGAGATTCTATGAATTAGATATTCCTTTCTCCTTTTTGTTTTCCTTGGATTTGCTTATCTTTTCCACAGGATACTAAGGCATTGACTATCTTACTAATACAATCATAGTAGAAAGAATAGACACAGATTTTTTAAAAAATCTGCTTAATAAAAAGGTAATGATGCATGAGTAAAGTTATATTTTACAACTCCTTATTTCAAAGTTTGCTTTGAACGTAGATTATTAACATATTGCTATTACCAGCTAGCTACTGAATAAGGAAAGACAGAAACTGATGATAAAATTATTTCATTAAAGTGGGATTTGATTTTAATCTGAATGTCAAGTGTATAGATACAGGCTTAGAGCAAATCTGGGCTGTTTGGCAGTTGCAGTATCTACGACTTTGCTCATCCCTCTGGACTTTTTTTTCTCTTCTACTCTGTACCATTATTTATTTCCTCACAACTTTACATAGCCTAATTATAAGCTCCTAAAGATATGAATCATGTACATATTTTAATTAAAGCTTTCAGTAAATTCAGGATGCTTCTATAGAATATCAATCATTCAAAAATAATATAAATTGCATCAATTAGCTTTAAACTTTTTAATCCTTAAAACTTTACTGATGAGCAATTTTATTTGAAGGAATTCCATTTGCTGGTAACTGAAATCAATGAATCTTATAAAATCTTGCTGCTTAATTTGAGTCCATTATTTTGGCTCTGTTTCTTCATACTAAGCCTGGGGACTCAGTCTTCTCTTTAGATATATTTTCATTTGCCTCTTGGCAAGGATTCCCAGCAATGGTACTGAGTTAGAAGACTTAGAACATCCCTTGTATTAGTCAGAGTTCTCCAGAGAGACAGAAACAATATGATCTACACAAAGATTGATATATGAGAGAGGATTTATTAGGGGAATTGGCTCACATAATTATGGAGGCTGAGAAGTCCCATGATAGGCCACTTGCAAGCTGGAGATCAAGGGAAGCCGACAGCGTAGCTCAGTCCAAGTCCAAAAGCATCACAACTGGGGAAGCCAGTGGTGTAACTCAGTTCAAGGCCAAAGACCTAAGAACCCCGGTGGGCGTTGCAGAGAGGCTGGTGCAAGTTTTGGAGCTCAGTGGCTGGAGAGCCTGTAATTCTGATGTCCAAGGGCAGGAGAAAAAGAGTGTTCCTGCTTCAGGAGAGAATGAATTCACCTTTCCTCTGCCTTTTTGTTCTATCTGGGTTACCAGGTGACTGGAAGGTGCCCACCCATATTGAAGGCAGATCTTCTCCCCTCGGTTCACCAACTCACATACCAATCTCCTCCAGAAACACCCTCACAAACATACCTCAAAATAATACTTTACCAGTTGTCTAAGTATCTCTTAATCCAGTCAAGTTGATGCCTAAAATTAACCATCACATCGACTTTACTCCCAGTTTCTGAATGTCTTTCCAGTTGGTGGTAATCTAGTACTCTCTCACGTATATCTGAGGGCAGGCAAAGCAAGCCACAGTAAAGAGAACAAGCTTTACTAAGAGCAACGCCTTACCAAAATATAAGCTTCTTGTGAGGAGAGAGATTTTTGTCAGCTGAGTTCATTGATATTTGTCAAGCCCCAAGAGCAGGGCTTCCACACTTCAGGCACTTGTTATATGTGGGTTGGTAAAGTAATGTCTATACCATTCACTTTAAGCCTCCAGTTCCTATGGGTCTCTAGCATGTGCTCTAGAGACAATAGGAATGAACAAAATGGCTAGTGTTTGTCAATCCATTATGCAGAATCCTTCTTTGGATCCATTGCACTTACACTCACTTATCTACATATTTTGATGTATATTTTAGTTGAAAAACCTTAATGTTTTTTGTATTTTAGGTGGCATTACAAATAAGTAACCAAATAAAATCATTTACTTTACTTTAAGACACGCTTAATTTATGATAATGATTCTAGGCTGTCTAGTGAAAGTCAAACATTGGATCTGAATTTCCAAAAAGAGTAGAATCAATTATTTGAAAAATGTCAAGACTCTTTCCGTTTTTTGAGATGGGGTCTCGATCTATCATCCAAGGTAGATTGCAGTGTCTATTCACAGGCGTGATCATAGCTCACTGCAGCCTTGAGTCTTTGGGTTCAAGCTATCAGATTACAGGCGTGCACCTGGCTAATTTTTTGAAAAACGATTTTTTAGAGATAGGGTCTTGCTATATTACCCAGGCCCATCTCACTACTGGTCTCAGGCAATCCTCCTACCTCAACTTCTCAAGTTGCTGGGATTATAGGCATGAGCCACCATGCTCAGCTCTTTCCACTTCTTCTCTGCCTTCTCTGTGTGTTTTCTATCTTATCTCTCCTTACATGAGCACTACTCCTTCCAATGTGTGGTTCACAGAAGTATTCAAGATCAAGAACAGTTCTAGGATCTTTATCTTACAACATTAGCAATTTTATACCTTCTTCTTTTAGCCTCAGCTCATCAGGGCATTTAAATTTTCGAAGAGCCCTTTTCAAAAAGTTAAAAGCATAATTCTCATATAAATATAGAATAAATTAATGTCAAAATATATTAAACATCTTATGAGAAACCAAAAGGATAATAAGATTACTTTTAAAAATGTGAGAAAAAGAAAGTTTTTATTTTCACAGGAATATAGAGTGCTGGAATAAAATTTATAAATCACAGGTGAAACTGGTTGGTGCTCTATTGGGCGATAAAAAATAATGAAAAGCTTTGGAGTAAAATCTTCAGCATGCTTGAATCTCGATTTGCATTGTTCTCACTAAGAATTCACTTGCATTGCTATCTGACATGAGGCATCTGTAGTACTATCAGTTTTATATGAATCAGTATCTATGCTTATGGAGTTGCAAAACACAGTCAATAGACAGTAGTAAATAAAATAAAATTTATATAACCTCAGACAATCAGAGAACTCTGGGCTAGTCATGTGAGACACTAGTGTGATTGTGAAAAGGCATGCAGTCATCCTTTACCTATATCCATGATATAAATATTTTTTAAATGCTATAAGGATATTTTAATTACTTATTATTTTAGGGACTGTTTTTTAGAGATGGGGTCTTGTTATATTGCCCAGGCTCATCTGGAATTATTGGCCTCATGCACTCTTCCCACCTCAGCCTCCCAAGTTGCTGGGATTACAGTCATCAGCCACCATGCTCGGTTCTTTTAATTTATTGTGAAAATTTAAAAAGAAATGCATAGAAAATGCATAATACAGGTTTGGCACAAAATAAACTCACAATAATGTACTTATCATTAATACTGTATTTATTAACATTGTATTACAAAAATACAGTCCCTAAACTTCTCTTTATCCAGAGAGATTTAACATACTACAGACAACATTAGAAGACCTATTAAACATTGCCAACATTTACCCATATCCAGCGTTCTTCTACTTCTGATTATGCTGAGGAGAAATTTCCCCTTCTGTTGAATTTAGGCATAACCAGCTCATGTATCTAATTCTAAAAGTTGCATGTGTCATTTTGGAACCACTCATTTATTTGCTAGCTATCAACACTCCAGCTTTCTCTGTTTTTCCTTGTCATTGCAAACTATGTTGCAGTATGTTGAAATGGAAGCCTCCCTCAGCAATAATCATGGATAAACAGAGCTCTCCTGTAGTATCAAAGAGAAAAAAATACAAACAAGCTTTTGTTTACACTATAGTTTTTGGATTGGTTTGTTACTGAAGCGTAGCCAAACTATTCTGATCAATACAATGACCTATGTCAGTATTTTTCAAAATGTCATTGAATACTAAATTATTCTTTAAATAAAAGGTCTTATGTTAAATGAATGTGCTAAAGTCCTACAAAATGTATAAGATTACAATGTATGTTATATTAAAAGTTCTAAAATCTTCTCTAACACAGAAGCATGATTGGCTTTAACACAGAAATTTATAAGTTTATTTGAGAAAAAAATCTATGGCAACATATTTATTGACATTCTGCAGAAGAGCAATGCAAAGATCACCAGTATGGAAACTTTTACCTCAGAAAGGATGAGATACACCTAATTGAAAATAAGCAGAAAGGATGGTGTACAAAGAAATGCCATGAAATTAAAATATTCTATTAAAAACTATTTTTAATGTATTCTAAAATCTGGATATAAGATATTTGTTAAACTGTAACTGTAAAACAAATAATAGTAATAACAGAAAACACTTATCACTGAATTGCTAATGAAATTATCATTGCGCTTAAATTTGAAGAAAAACAAACCAGTTATAATATTGTTATATCCAAATATATCATGAAGAAGAATTAAAAACAATGATAGGTTTTTATTGTTTCTATGAAATTTAATTATTTATTGGTTTTGAAGTTGTCTTTACAACAAAAGTAATGAGTGAATTTTTATGGGATTCAAGTTTGAGGATATAAAAGAAGAAACGAAATATATTACATTATTAAAATGTTATTGCTGTGACAGTCATCTATTTTATTTTTTTCTTCTTTCCTTGTTTTTTCTCCCTTTCTTTGTTTTTAATTTCTTTCTCATTTTTATAATTCTGATTACATAGTAAAAGAAGTTTGCTACTATGATTTCACAGAAAATTATAATGACAGCTAGAGTTGTCAGTGATCCTGAAAAAGTAAGTGTAGTTCAATTGCAATGATTAGAAGCAGCTCTCTTACTTTGTAAATTTAGCTAAAATCAATGAGCAAAGTTACTGTTTTGTAATAATATGTTTTACTTAGACATCAATACTCTTAATATCAGTTTAATATTTTAAAAGATTCTCTACAATAATAAATAACTAAAAAATATTATAAATATTCCATTAGGTTCTGTATCCTGGTATACTTACAAGTAGAAAAGAATTTATATTGCCATGTCATTTCATACGGATTATTCTAAATGTACTTCAGATTCTGAGAGGTATTTTTTGGTGTATGCATCTGACATATCTTTAAGAACCTTTAAAACATCACCAGAAATAAGAGAAGCTTTAGATTTTCAAGTGCTTTCAGAGTAAACATGCATTTCAATGAGGAACTGTTTCAAGAGAGAATGAAACAATTTATAGTACTATATAGGCTCCCTGCAAGCTAATAATCCTCTATTATCATTCTGTAATTATTTTTCACAGTTTTTTTTTATTAGAAAAACACGGGGAAGCCAGGATTTAAAAAGAAAAAAATAAAAAGTATCAAATTGGAATAACATCTTCTTTAAATAAAAGAATGATGGATGGATGACAGCCTGTAGGTATGCCAGGTTAAGCAACCAAGCAACAGGATTTAGGTAAGCTGAAGGGTAAACATTTCCACAGAAGATAAACACTTAAACAGAAATTATAAGACATTAATACACTGATGAAATTTCAGCAACATAAAGGGCAATCAATAGAGTAGAACTCCAAAGAACTGGAGTCAACAAAATAATCTGAAATTATATATGTATATATATTATATCTTCAAAATATAGGAAAGGCTTCCAAAAAAAATAAAAGAAA
The DNA here is from genome assembly GCF_000001405.40 of Homo sapiens. NCBI lineage: Eukaryota > Metazoa > Chordata > Mammalia > Primates > Hominidae > Homo > Homo sapiens. The sequence continues at coordinate 102,181,509 of NC_000006.12, forward strand.
ACAATAAACAAAGAAAAAAGAGACACATGTGAAAAGAAGCAATAAGAAATCTTAAATGTGAAAAAAGGTATTTTTTTACATTAGTTGAATAAAAACTATTTTTTTCAATTAAAAATCTGAAGAGTAGATTGGCTAATCTGACTATTTTCTGGAGACTAATATGACACAGCTGGAGAGAAAATTATTAAATTAATAAAAATTAATAAGTATATATTCTAAGACATACTATGAATAAACGTATTGTTGATGAATGAAGAAAAAAATTATAAAAATGAAAATAAAAAGAGGAAGGATAAAATGAGAAGCACAGTTGCACAACTATTATTTGCTGTATAAAGATAAAGCAGAATGAGAAAAATACAATAGTCAAACAGATAATGACTAAGAATTTTGCAGCATCGAAGAGAAACATGAGACTTAGATTTAAGAAAACCAGTATGTGCTGAGAAGATAAAGTAGAAATAAATGCTATTTAGATATAGACATTTTCTAGTAAAAAGGTAAAACACTAACGAAAAAAATTAAAAAAAAAAACCTTTAAAACTACCAGGTGATAAAGGCAGGTTAACTACAGGACAATACAACTCACATGAGCAACACATTTGTTGTTAGAGGTCCCTGGACTCGAATTCTGTTCAGTGATTTCTAAGTTGTGCAAGCTCAGTTGTTTGCTACTCCATCTTTCTGTGCCTTGGACTCCTCATTTAAGCACTTTGCACATATTATCTCACTTAATCCTCAGAACCATCCCTGGCATGTAGAGAAAAACTGATATATATTAGAGATTGCAACTTATTATTATTTTAAAATTTATTATCAGTTGTTAAGGAGCCAGAAGACAACAGAGTAATGTATTTCAAATGATGAGGAAAAGAACTATGAACCCCGTATCCCCTAACCAAGAGCCAGGGCTAATTAAGATAATTTTAAATACGCAAAAAATTGGAAATATTTCTAATCAGGGCCCTCATGATAGCGCATTAAATACTTCAGGAAGAAGAAAAAAATGTATCCAGAAAGAAGAAATGGGAAGTAAAAAGCAAAAATAATTTAAAAGTTAGTAAAATAAGTTTGTGAATAAAAAAGTGCTTATTGTAATAAATGAAAGTATTTCATGACATACTACATTGCTTTCTCTTTTGCATTTATGTTTATATGACTGTTTACCCAAAGAGTCTGAGGTTTCCATCTGTCCCTAGATCATACACATCCTAAGTAGATTATAGGAAAAGAGATGAGGTAAAATACAAGAAATGGACTGCCCAAAACTTTTATTAATGAAATGCCCTTAACATCTAAATCATTGAGGTCATGTTTTTATTAACGAGTAGTAGTTCATGCTTTCCATAGTCAAAAAGATCATGGAACTATGATAAGCCCCATTTTGCCCTAGGTAGCCATTAAAATTCAGATTGTGTAATATTTAGAAATACTTCATTTCTGTTCAAAAAGAAAAGATAAAAATTGTAATTACTTGGGAACACCAAACCTAGAAGTGAATCAACATGCACTATTAACCTTCTTGCTTGGCAACAAAATTTTCACATATGAGCTAGGAGATACTAAAATCAAAGGAATATACAGAGTGCCCTAATGATTCTGTGAAATTAGAAATAATCCCTCATAGATTTTCAAAGGAGTTATTATTTTTGCATTTTTAATAATTTCATATTCTGAAAACTTTATTAAAACTTCAGATTCTAATACCATCAGGATTGTTTAATGTTCTATTCAAAATGCAGCCTCAAACCAGATAGCATTGACACTTGATAAAAATGGAAAGATCTATACTCATTTTAAAGAGAAGTTTCTAATATTAATAAGTTGTTAGAATGAGAATATTTGAGTTTACTACATGTTACTTGAGGCTATTTAATATATATAAAAATCTCTTTTAAGTAGTACAGTTTTTACCTTTTCTTTTGTTCCTTTATTGATTTTTCCTTTCCTCCTTTTCTTCTTTATTTTCCTCCTCCCTCCTTCCCTCCCTTTTCCCTTTTACTCAATGAGACTGAGGTTTCCATCTGTCCCTAGGTTATACACATCCTAAGTAGATTAAAGGAAAGGAGAGAGAAGACAAGAGGTAAAATTGAAGAAACGGATTGCCCAAAAGTTTTATTAATGAAATGTCCTTAACATCTAAATCACTGAGGTCATGTCTTTATTAAAGAGTAACAGTTCTCTCTCTCTCTCTCTATCCCATTTTCTTTTTATATTCTGGCTTGTACCTGTTTAGCTAAGCTATTTGTCTCCATGGAATTAAATCAGAACATTCTGTTTCAATCCTCTGTCTTCCATTCCTGCTATACTTGCCTTGCCTCACTCTGCCTCAGACACATTAGTCTTGGGACATTAGGACTTTTGTGATGGCTCTTATCTTTCCTGGAAACTTTCAGTCCTTGATTTTCCTAAGCTTAATTCCCTCACCTCCTCAAATCATTTGTTCTCATGTCACCTTCTCAGTGAGATCTGCTCTGACTACCTGATTGAAAATTGGCCACCTCCATCTCATTTCTCCTCTCTTTTCACTTACTCTTTCTCTTGCGTAATGCTCAACCCCTAGAAGATAGCATGTAATTTAATTTTATATTGTTTTTATTCTTTGATATCTGTCTCTACTGAATCCTAACCAAAAGACATACTGGAATGTAAGCTTCACGAATATAGATATTTTTGTCTATTTTGTTCACTTTATATCCAAAAGGTCTAGAAATGTTCTTGGTACATAAAAGCTGCTAGATAGAGATAGATATTTGTTGTAAATTTGTAGAAAATGACTAGGTAAAAGTAGGAAAAACAATTCAACTTTCATAAGAAAAAGCCTTCCAGTGGGAACAATCTGCTAAGAAAGGCAAGCTAATATGGACACACCTCTGAGATTCACTATCCCTGTTTGAGAAGCTACTAAATAGGACATTTAGAATCAATGGTCAAGGCACGATGCATCTCTTTCCCTGAGTGGAATTCTTTACTATGGTTATTCTGCTTTTCTTTCACTTTTGTGTATCAGGTATTTTGAAAGTGGCTAAATTTATTATTTAGACAAGAGATTGTCAAATGAAAGCTCTTTGCCCAAATCCTGGCCACTGCCTGTTTTTGTACAAGCTGTGAACTAAAAATGGTTTACACATTTTAATTGTGGGAAAAATTTTATAATAATATTTCATAGCATACAAATATAATAAAATACACATTCCATTCAATGTCTATAAATAAATTTTATTGGAACCAAAACACATTTATTTATGTGGCGCTATGGCTGTTTTAGTGCTACAGTGATACAATTGAGTAGTAGTAACAGAGGCTGTATGAGTATCAAGCCTAAAATATTTACTAACTGGCCTTGCTGAAAAGAAAGTTTGCTGACCCTTGATTTAGACCATATGCTTCAAGATAGAGAAGAAGTAAATCAAAGAAAGACTGAGACTGACTAGATGAAATAGCAACAATATATAGAGAGTGTGGATTCAGAGAATACTGTCTGTGACACTGTCAAGGAGTCTTGAACTAAACATAGCAATAAGTGACTACCAATAGTGGGAGAGATGAGTAGATTTGGTGTTGTTTTTTGAGGTTTTTGGTGTGGTTTTGGTGTAGTTTTAAGAAATCTTAAATATAAGGTAAGCGGGGACATTCTGAGAATTTTATATGAAAAATAACAGACAACTATTGTGCTGGAAAGATGAATTATGATGATCACCAAAGTGAATGCCAGATTAGTACCCACCTAGCACCAGTTTTACCAGCAACTTTCTCCATGGCTTGAACAGGGAGCTGGATAAAGGCCTAACATGTAAAATTCCAGGGCTTGACATGCACCTGTTTCCTAACATGTGGAAAGAACAGAAGAATGAAAAGACATGGTTTGCATACAGAACGAATGCTAAAGGGGGAAAAATCAATGTACTAGTTACTTAGAACAAGAAAAAGTGATGTAAGAAAACAGCTGGTGTTAAGTAATATTTTATAATATTCAGGTTTTTGGTTCTAGTTGTTGTGGAAGTTTAGATGCATTCTTAGCTTTAGATTTAGTGAAATTCTTCAAGATCTTTATTAAAACTTCCTCCACTGATGGGAAAGAGAGGAAGTGAACTAACGGACTTTAGAAAACAGAATTTTGACTGCATATTATATAGCATAAGACAAAAATAATCATATGCAATCATTGTACTCTAGTTAGTAAATTTGTTTTCCGTAAGACTATGAGTTAGGAATTCTGAAGCTACTTTATTTGTTTCCTAGGGTTGAACAAACAAGTAAATATATTGTAGATAATGAAAGATATTCTCACCGTGCACATAAGCAGTTATAAATCAGAAAAAAGGAAAGGCCAAAATGAATTCTGTGATGCTGGATTGAAATGAGAAGCATCAAATAAACTCTTTGTATATAGAGAGATTTATACAGATGTATGAGTGAACTAGTTACTGTGTTTATGTGTATGTGTGGAAATATTTATGCATTATATGTATTTTATATAACATATTGATATATATTATGATACATATGATATATGGAGATATATAGATATATACCCTTGCTCTATCCAATCAGAAATGCTAGCAGCAGTGACATCATAGTAACAATGAGCACATCATCTACAGACAAGATTTTGGTTTCTAAATACCATTATACTTTAAAAGGAACGTGGACTCCTTGGAAAATCGGCAGTTCCAGAAATGAGACAGGAAAAGTACAAGGTGAACCTGAAGCATTTTATGTTGCCTCAACATAAGGAACTGCTTAAAAATAGCTTTTAAAAGGACAGGTAATATCAGAAGGAGGCAAGAATTATTCTGAAACAACTCCCCATAGCCAAAGTTGAAATACCTTATACTATAACAATGGTATTAAATTATACCTCCCAACATAAAATAAAAACTCATTGGACTATATAATACAAAAAACGACAAAATAAATCAATAGATGGAGGAGATAGACAAATATTTCCTATGGAAGAATTTCATATATTAATGATGGAAGGAAAGCAAGAATTAAAAAATCGCCAATCCACTTTTCAATGTAGAAATTGGTGAAAAAAAGTTAAAGCAGAAACAGGATATTTACATAGTCTTGATGTATTTCCTATTAAATATTTAATAATTACAAAGCAAAAAATAGTTAACTTTACATTGGAGAATCCTAGCAAGTGCCTAATGGTCAAAGTTAATATCATCAGTAATAAGACATAGGAACATCATATATCTTCCTGATAAGATTAATTGAGAAAGGCATATCGCTCTACTATGTCAGTCCAAATAAGCACAGCTTCAGTCTAATCAAGAGAAACTATCAGATAAATCCAAGTTGAAATACATTCCAAAAAATAACTGGTCACTATGTTTCAAAAATGTCAGGTTTTTTAAAGAAAAGACCCATACTGTCTCTTAGATTGGAGGCAACTAAGAAGGCATAATAAGAATATGCAGTGTGAGATCCTGGCTTACATTCTAAATCATAAAAAAGGCAACAGTAGAAAAACTTTGATGAAATTTAAATATGTTTTGTGTTTTTGCTAATATGATTATATCATGATTATATCAGTGTTAATTTCTTAGTTTTGATAAAAGTTCTACGGTCACATAAGTTGTTAAGAGGAAGCTAGTTGAAATAGATATAAAAACTCTCAGTATTATTCTTGCAACCTTTCTGTGAGCCTAAAACCATCTCAACATAGAAACTTTTAAAGAATGTATCTTCTTCCCCTTTGCCCAAAAGAACCCTAACAGTACTGAAGAGAGGAAATTATTCCACAGTTTCTTATTGAGCAGGCAGAGAACAGAAAAACCAGCCCAGATAACATATAAGCTGCTTTCTCAGCTTCCTGACACTTTCTATTTCCTTCAGGAACAGCCATAGCCAGAAGAAACAAATGAGCAGAAGGAGAAAGTCAGAGTGGCTTATCTTCATTTCATGCCCAGAAGGAAGAACAAAGACAGCTCTTAGAAACGAGTAGAGAGGAAAGCTGAATAATATGTATTATTTCTCAGCTTTTCTAGTTCTTTTAAATGATAATTATTTTATTGCCAAAGGAATACTCTCCAAACATAAAATCTAGGCGTTGTATTAAATTGCAATTCAAATATACGTTTAGCATATTTATCATTTTACTCTTGTTCTTCATAGATGTTTAAATAGAATAAAAGCAAATGCCAGTCTGATTCCCTTATGTACAAAGAGATGATTGGAATAACATTGCTGGCAATATTAATGAAATTTAGATTTCCAAAGAGGAGAGGTGGTATAATTTTTAAATAATCTTATTAAAACATAGGGGAAAAGGTTTTTAATTTACATTTGTAATTTAAACTACAGTTATCAATAGTTTATTTATTTTACTATTTTCAACCTAAAGTAAGAAGTAATGTTATTGGATATTCAGGAGAAGAATACTATGAGTACAAGCAGCATTTGCATTCTAAGCTATCAATATCATCAGAAGGTAGTTTATTCATGAAGTAGCAAAGTAATTATGGGCAAACTTCCACCTAAATCATTGGGGATGACTTGTTATCTGAAGTGAACTCTTATTTCTATAAGTCCCACAGCAAAGATAAGCTCATAAATGTACAGGGGGAAACAGATTATAAAATAGAATGAATTTAACTAAGGTGGGCACTGTGGCAAAATAAGAGCCCTTGTCTCTGCAACATGGCAACCACTAATAGGTCAGTGTTAATTGTTGCCTTGCAGGAAGGTAAGTGCATTCTTTTTAGATTTTTTTAAGGGAAGCCAAAACATAATATTTTTATATACAATCTCAGCAGCCTGTGACTTCCTTTCCACAGGATTGTTAGTGGCATTTGGGATATATAGTCCTGCTTTTCTTCCAAAGATAGAACTGGCAGCAGGGACACCGACATAAAAGAAGAATAGGGTAGGTGTCTGTCCCTAGTGGCAGACTATATACTTTTTGGACATTTTAGAAAAGTCCTTGTTCAAGTAAGAATGGTTAATGAAGTCTTAAGAAAAGTTTTATTTGCTCTTGGACATTTTAAGGATAATTTATAGGCTAAAGTACTTGCCAATCTCCAAGTGAAGACAATGGTATCCAATTTTTTCCCCAAAGTTACCAAAGTTAAAATAGAAATTTCATGACATCAGGAATACTAAAATGCCATACCTGTCTATATATTTGCGTTTTTATCTATTACCTATATTTAAAATGTTTTTTCTGAGTATTTAAGTACATTTGAATATATATGCAGATATGTATTTCTTTCCACTCTCATGTTTCAAAATTGACATCTAAGTTTGATAAAGTGTGACCAGCAGATTGTTTTACCCTGAGCAAATGTGAATAGTAATCTTGAGTTGGGTTAAAGCAGATGTTTGCAAAGCCTTTGGTCATATTTCTGATTTCGGTACTCTAGTCTGTTCTTTATGCTATGATTATGTCTCAACACTCTATAATCATGCCTCATCAGTTCATGCTGGCTCAATGTATCCTTAGCATGTTTCTTTTGTGAACCTCCCTGGTCGTTGCCCTACTCCAGCTGGATTTGGTAGCCTGCTGAGTGAGATTCAATTTTCTGCAAATGCCCTTGCAAGAGCAATTGTCGTTTCAGCATATTTAGATAAGTTTATATGTGTATATAAAATTTTGATTCTTTCGTTTGAAACAAAACTTTTATGCTATTTAAAGTCAAACTTTGACATGTTTCAAGTGAAATCTTACTGAATTGCCTTTAACTGGTAATCAAAATATCTTGATTTTAATTTTGGCTCTGCCACTTGTTAATTATCAGAACTTCAAAGGATAAAATATACTTATCTTTAGTCTCTGTATCTATGAAAAGAGGAAATTTTAAGTGGATGCTTCTGTCTTCCAAGTACTGTAAGGCATTAGTTTCTAAATTGAGAATATATTAGTATCACCTTATGTAATACTAGATTGCTAGGCTCCAATCACAGATATTTGATTTAGTAGCTCAGAGGTGGTCTTGCATTTCCAAAAAGCATCCAGATGATGATGATGGTTTTCCAGACCGCACATTGTGTAGCAGTACTTTATAAAATATTTGGCATAAGCATGATTCTATATTCAACTTTCTGTAATATATTAGCTGTGGAACACTTCCTGATTCTACATGATTTTATTTAATATTTTACAAGATCGTGTGGGCTGGGCATGTAAGACACAAGAGTACAGTAGTAAGAATAGGGACTTTGAAGACTCTCATACTTGAGTTTAAATCTCAGTTATTTTGATAAACTCTTTGAACACCAATTTATTTATTTATAAGGGTTGTTACAAAGGTTAAATATATGTAAGTTTGTGCGTTACATTTACATTCCAATTCCTTCTTCATCACCTTTACGCTGTTCTTATTTTACTACAAGTATCATCTGTCTATGGTTCAGGTAGCTAACACAATAAGAAAGTTTAGTTATTACAATATTTAAAAGATGTTGTCAAAGAAAAATAAAAATGGAGGCCACAGTTTAGATATATGCCAAGGCCAACCACCTATAACAACATAGCCCAAACTTAAGTCATTCTGATTTCTGGAACCACTACCTCTATTCATAAACTAAATATAAACTGTAAGCTTTGTGACCTTGTCCAGGTTGTAGTGCAGTGGTGCGATCTTGGCTCACTGCAACCTCCGCCTCCTGGGTTCAAGCGATTCTCCTGCCTCAGCCTCCCAAATAGCTGAGATTACAGGCAGGCACCACCTTGCCTGGATAATTTTCTTTTGTATTTTTAGTAGAGATGGGGTTTCACCATATTGGCCAGACTGGTTTCGAACTCCTGATTTCGTGATCTGCCCGTCTCGGCCTCCCAAAGTGCTGGGATTATAGGCATGAGCCACTGCTCCCAGCCTTCATTTATTTTAAAAATGAATTTGAATAATTAGATAAGGAAGGTCTTCCAGAAGTAATAAGGAGAAGTAAAGTAATCGAGTCACAAAGTATGTGGCTTTGGAATTCAAGTATAACATGTATATGTGTATCCATTATGACAATATATATTGCATATCTTGATAGTATTTAACTTACCCTGGTTTGACTTATGATTGTTTGACTTTGTGATAGGTTTCTTGGGATATATTTTGGACATAAAATGGGTTTATCATGAAATGATCCCACTGTAAATTGAGGAGCATCTGTATGTATTTAAATATATGTGTGTGTGTAGCTTTTCAAGCATGTGTGTTTTAATTTCTTATCAATGTGGAACAAACACCTGGTTCTCTTCTATGTGGGCCTCTTCATACGGAAGTTTGGACTTCCTCAAAGCTGGATTCCAAGGATTACTGTTCCTAGCATTTCTTCCAGGGGAGATCTAGTGGTAACAACCACCCTTAGCTTTTATTTATCTGGAAATGTCTTAGTTTCTTACTCAATTTGAAAGACAGTTTTGCCAGATAATAGGATTCTTGGTTAATGGGGATTTTTTTTTGAGCGGGGGGTATGTTGTTTATTTTCTTTTAGCACTTTGAATGAATCAGCTCACTGCTTTCTGGCCTCCAATATTTCTTAAGAGAAATCTGCAGATAGCTTTAGCGAGAATATTTTGTATTTGAAAAGTTGCATTTCTCTTGCTGCTCTTAAAATTATTTTTTTAATCTTTGGCCTTTGAAAGTTTGATTAAAATGTATCCCAGTGTAGATTTCTTTAAGTGAGTCCTTTGAGCTTCTTGAATATTAATATTTATGTCTTTCCTCAAATTTGGGATTTTTCCGAGTATTTTTCTTTTGAAATATCTTTCTGCTCCTTTCTAAGACTCCCACGATGTGTATATTGTTATACTTGATGACGTCCACGGGTCCCATAGGCTCTGTTCAGTTTTCTTTAGTCTTTTTTCTTTCTGTTAGACTCCATAGTTTTAATTGTCCTATTTTTAAGTTTGTTGAGTTTTGCTTTTGCTTGCTTAAATTTGCCTTTTAATTTTTCTAGTGATTTTTTTTATTTCACAGATTATACTTCTCTGTCATGAAAGAAGAGTCCCCATATGAGAAGTTTCCTCCTGGTTGCACATGGGTATAGATGGATGTACAAAACATTATGAATTTTCCCTCCCCTTTTGTGGAAACTCTTCTTGCTTTTACATTTGCCTGAGTACTGTAGCTTGTCAAATACATTGAGGCAGTCTCTAGCATTCTTGCAGTGGCATTATGGTCCATATATTGGTGTTTCTGTGACTTGGTGTTTCTGTGAGTAAAAAGAGACTTCCTAGTCCACCGTCTTGCTAATGTCAGTCCTCCATCATGATCTTTTGACATCTTGGACTTCAGCCATAATTTATTAGATTGTATTTTTTTCTCTTCCTTGGTTTATTTTGTTGTTGTGGTGGTGGTGGTGGTGGTGGTGGAATCAGTCCCGAAGGTACTTTTAAGAATGGTTATAGGGTAGAGTATGGAGTTTATGTGTGGAAGGTTTATGGGAATGAATATTTAGCTATAGATTTTTAAGTAATCTTGAGATTTCAGTTTTCCTCTTTACTGTTATCATATTATGCCTGCCTTTTTGAAGTTCTAAGTATCCCAG